>NC_000003.12:194611571-194762570 GCF_000001405.40 Homo sapiens | reverse complement strand
AAGAATGGCCCCACTTGATAGGGCTGGCATGGTTAATTATCTGGGCATGGGAGCCCTCTCAAACTTGTTAAAGAGATTCACAGTATATAAGGCATATTTATAAAAACCATGTAATTTGACGCTCTAAAACAACCCTGTGAATGAGCTTAGGATAGACGATGTATATTATGCTCATTTTGTAAATGAGGACACCGAGATTCAGAGAAATAAAATGGCTTGACCAAAAGTCACCCAGCTATTAAATATCAAAGGCACTAAAAATCCTGCTTTTCTGTCTTCAGACCCTGAACTCTCCTCTCTACACCATCGCATGTCAGTGGAACTATAAGCCTCAAGACCTGAGTTCAAGTTCGTCCTCTGCCACTTACTAATGTGATCTTGGCAAGTCACGTATTCTCTCTGGGGCTCATTCTCTGCATCTGTAAAATGGGGATTAAAAACTCTGTGTCCCGCCTGATTAATTCTCTATGACTTGGGAGTCTTCTGGCCAACCTCACTCTGAAAACGTCACCAGACCAAAGATACATGGAGCAGTTGGCCTCCTTTATAGGACGCTGTCCCGCTGGGAGATGGGAGAAAGAGGGGTACAGTGCCACCTTGGTGAGGTGGGACAGGAACCGGCTGGGCTGTCTGGCTGACTTACGTGCCGAAGCAGCTCTGCTGGAGTCCTGAGCAATCTTCCCACTCCTTCCAACTCAATTTGTCCGGCTGACGTCTAAGTTCTCTTTTAGCCCTAAAAGTCTCTGAATCTAGATCTTAGAAGCCAGTTCCCTCCACGACTGTCGCCTATTCACTTTACCTCTGTAAATGCCATTTCCCCTTCTGCAAAAGCCAAATCACACTCCTTTCCCACCTGCTGCAGATGCTGCTCTGCGTTTTAATTGACAGTCATTCTAACCTGCTGATCTCCTTGAAAGGTCCCTGCCTTATTCAATCACTCAGTTGTAATGAGGTCATTGCTGGAACTGGCAACTCCCACAGCCTCAGGATTCCAGCAAAGCACACACCAGACTTTCCACAAAACTGCTGAAGCCTTGAGTGCCCCGGGGCTGAGTGCCACCTGGCTGATGTCAACCCCCGCCCCCCAGCAGCCTCCCTGAGATGTTTCAATTACAGCTGGGCTTGCTGGCAACACCTGAAGTTCTCTCCCCCACAGACAGGACTCAGGCTCCCAGCTATTCCTCCTTACATATCACATTTTTATGGACAGTGCCGGCAGAAGAATAGGAAGAAGATTGGGGTTCATGAAATGCCACCACCGGTCTAGCCTTTTTTTAGCCTATTGGAAGTGGGGAAACATGGAAAGTTCTCAAAATGTGCACTCTGGATCCCTGGGATTCCCAAGAGGACCCTGTGGTGGAGGTTCCATGAGGTCAAATTTTCATAATGAGATGAAGTCATTATTTGCCTTTTCTCCCTATGCTGACGTTTGTAATAATGGTGCATAAGCAACAGGGGGTAAAACTGCTGTCCCCTCAGCACAGATCAAGATAGTGACACTACACTGTACTGACAGCTGTCGTATTCTCCACTACCACACACTCATGGCAAAAAGTAAATTATTTAAAAAGCCACACGTAAGCTTCTCTATGATCAAAGAGTAGAAGTTATTACGTTATGAAATGTCAACCCTTGCGTAACACCTTGTTTTAACATTCTGTGTGGACTGGTAAGTACCACTAGAAGTACCACTTCTGCCACACATCGATGTACAATGATTGTCTCAAGGAAAAATGACTTGTGTGAGTGCTTCGGTTAAGTGAACTAATCACTTTTTTTCAGAAGATACATTTTTACTTAAGAGAAACGACTGGCAGACAAATTAAGGATATTCAGATTGGGGTTTTGGCAGCTGTTTTCTCAAAAATGGATCTCCTGAGACTGTTTCTTCCAGGAAAACAACTGATGGTATTTGTTGCCAATAATAAAATCCGAGCTTTCCAGTGAGAATCAGAATTTTGGAAAACTTGTGTTTACCACTGTGAGCTTGACAGCTTCCCAATAATACTTAAGGAGTTTTCCAATGATATTCCAATGGTAATACTAACGAATTGTGCTATCTAAATATTGGATAGTAAAAACGTCAACATTTAGAAAATGTATATCACACAGGGAACCAATATTTTTCAAATTATCCACATCTAATATTAGGCAACCACGCGCAAGCAAAAGACACGTTCAAAGTACAGGAGAAATGGATGGATTTTAATGTGAGATAGTACAAGAAGTTTATTGATATAGTTTCAGATTCCATATTGTAATAAACCTTTAAGAAACTATCACTTCTTGAGTTTGGGTATAGAATCCAAAAAAAAAAAAAGAACCACTCAGCCCGACGAGGTGGCTCACACCTATAATCACAGCACTTTGGGAGACTGAGGCAAGTGGATCACTTGAGGTCAGGAGTTTGAGACCAGCCTGGCCAACAGGGTGAAACACCATCTCTACTAAAAATACAAAAATTAGCTGGAAATCACTTGACCGGGAGGCAGAGGTTGCAGTGAGCCAAGATCGTGCCACTGCACTCCAGCCTGGGCAACACAGTGAGACTCCATCTCAAAACAAAACAAAACACAAAAAACCCATAATTGTCAAGAAGACTATTAAAATACTCCTCTCCTTTTCAACTACACGTCTATATAAGGCCAGATTTTTCTCACACTCTTTGGCCAAAACAACGTGGCACAACTGATTGGATGCAGGAACAGTGATGAGTCACTGGCTTAATCTATTGATTCAAGCATTAAAAAGTTTTGCAAAGACATAAAACGATGTCACTCTTGTAAGCAATTTTGTTTCTTGTTTTAGGAAATACGATTACTTTTTAGTTAAAACGTGTTATTTATGTTGACATGTAATGAGTTTATTATTGCTATTTTTAAATGAATTAGTAAGTTAATATTTGTTAAATTTCTGTGTTTTAATTTATATAGTAAATACGGACAGATATAAGTCACATAAACAAAATATCTTTGGGGTTTTCTGTATTTTTTTTTTTTTTGACGGAGTGTTGCTCTGTCGCCCAGGCTGGAATGCAGTGGCGTGATCTCAGCTTACTGCAACCTCCGCCTCCCAGGTTCAAGCGATTCTCCTGCCTCAGCCTCCTGAGCACCTGGGACTACAGGCACATGCCACCACACCTGGCTAATTTTTTGTATTTTAGTAGAGACGGGGTTTCACTGTGTTAGCCAGGATGGTCTCGATCTCCTGACCTCATGATCCGCCTGCCTCGTCAGTAATTTTTTATAGCGTAAAAGAATCCTAAGACCAAATAGTTTGAGAACTGCTAAATGGTGATATTCTGTAGTTTTAGGATTGTGGGTCCAGCTACTGTGGGAAGACTGGATGTGGTCAAAGATGGGAGGGGAGCCTTCTGCTACTGGTTGGCAAGAGCTACTGAAGCCTGGAACTAAGGCAGCGGCAATGGCATGGCCAGGGGGTGTAATGTGAGTTCATCATTAAAATCGGGGTCACTATGTCATATTTTGGTTTGGTTGCAGTGCTGAACCTTATGCAACCCTGGCCCTGGAATAGGCATGGTCTCCTCTGAAGGGAGTGGTTATATCCAACACCAGCCATTTGAGAACCAGATGGATGCTCTGACAAGAAGCAGAAATGAAGCGGGGAAGCAGGGAGAGGACCTTGCTCCAGCTGTTCTGGGTAAAGACCTGTTCTGGGCACACACTCAACTTGGCAAGTGCCAAGATAGTACTTGCCATAGGGATGCTAGGGGGAGTTCAGGTGAGGCAGGCCCTTCAGGCTTCAAAGGGAAAGGTGCTGAATGCCAGGTATCCTGGGTCACAGTACACCCTGTGTTGATCTCCCTTCACCTGTCACTGAGTCTCCAGTGGGACAAATCCAGTCAGGTTTTCCAGCCTTGTCTCAGCTGTACTAGAGGAAACTAAGGGAAGAAGCATGCATGCATGCGGGGGAAATCACAGGCCCCTACCGAAGTTATTATAAGTTATTTACGAGATGGGAGCAATGGTTAGGGAGAAATTCTCAAGTAAAAGGGAAATCAGGTGAATCAGAGAAACAGCTTCTCCATCCAGTGACAACTAGACCTTGTTTACAAAAGGCAGAATTTTCCTTAGGAGGTGAGAGAATGAAGAGATATTTTGGAAGAAAGAATAAATAAATAGAATGAACTGAATACAGAGCAGGTGAGGGACTCCAAAACTTATAGGACATCTACTTGGAGCTTGAGGCGCCTCGTAGACATTCCAGGTGGAGCTGCCCAAAAGACAGAAGGTTGCGTATGTCTGAAGCTCGGGAGGTCTGGAGTGGAGGTGTTGGCTTGAGGATCATTAACCTACAGAGGTCAGCATGTCTCAGGCCTCAGAGCAATTCAGAGTCACCTGTGGAGGATTATTAAAAGGAAGATAGCTGTCCCAGACCAACTGACTCAAAATCTCCAGGAGTGATTCTGATACACACCACCACAGGTTCTCTGAAGGCAGAGGAGATGCTGAGAGCTTCCAGAAAAAAAGGAGAAAGAATGAGTTCCAAATGCAGCCACAAAGCCAAAAGCATCTTGCTCCTGAGCACCATAAGGCTGTCAGGAAAGAATGTGCCTAATTAAATTCTAATGGGCTGGCAGACTACAGCACACGGAATACATCAACTGCTCGTCTTCAGACAGTGCAAGAGTCCCCTGCTAATATCTAAGCCTTAAATGTAGCCACTTAAGCTCCCCATATATCAGGCATCATTAGGGATCCCAGCAGCTGCACATGGGCCTGACCATAAAACAGTCAGGGGGAGAACCAGAGGGCCATGGGGAGCAACCCTCAGCCTTCCCTAGATACAGCTGTGTAAAGTAGGCCCTTTCTTCCAGCAACAATCCTTTTCCCTGCAGCTGGACTGAATAGAATGAACATTTCTGAAATATAGCCAGGGCACAGACTGTTCTCTTGGAAACTCCAAGTTGTCTTTTCTAGCAAAGCAGTGAAAAGGTGAGTAAAACATTTTTCATTTATTAAAAATCTTCTATTGACCACACACAATAAGCTAGATATCCAGACCAGGGTTTCAAACCTTTCTTTTTTGTTTTGTTTTGCCTGGAGAAAGGCAAAGGTCTTTATTTCTTCCTGCCTCCCCATGGGAAGACTCCACCCTGGGGTCTGCTGGCCCACCACCCCTGGGTGCTCAGTTTCTGCAAACATCGGCCAGCAAGTCCTTGTGGTACCCCTGGGGCAGCGTGTAGTAGATTCGGGTTCTGTCTACAGCCCTGGCTCCCAGCAGCGCTGTCCTCTCACAGGCATAGTTGCCCCCAGCTGGGCTGTGCTCCACTGTGACAGTAGCCCCAGGGGAGGATGCCAGCAGCCTGGCAACAGCTCCAGGCGTGCTGTGGCCCCGTGGCCTGGCCTGCATCTGGAAGCTGAGCCCCTGGCACAGCTCTAGCATATCTGTGAGCAGCTGTTCCCTGTAGCCACTGCCCAGCACCTCCTGAGTCCAGCCTGGTGCCACAGTCACATGGGGGAAGACCTCAGCCACAGCTGTAAGCAGCTCTCTGCCAGCCATGTGGCCGAGGACTGAAAAGCTCCCGTGGGAGATGTTGGCCCCATCCACACAGGCCGATGCAAGAAGCCAAGGCTGGACAGGGATGCCAGCAAGGCCAGGGACGGCCAGAGGGCTGCGGGCTCCACTATTTGCAAATGGACGCTCCAGTGTCTGGGATGTGCGGCCAGCTGCTGCAGGCAGGACTCCAACCTCAGGATGCTGCCACTTGGAGCACAAACAGTGGGCACGGGGTTCTCAGCCACAGTTCCCTTGAGGCCAGTGTCCAGCAGGATCATGCCTTCTGTGTCTGGGAGGGTTACCATTGCTGTACCCCTGGGGCAGCATTGAGAAGACCATCACCCTCGAACAGCTGGAGAAGAGGGATCAGGCTGCCTCCCGTGTAGTACATTTGTTTCCATGTGGCATTCACTGTGGGGCCCCAAATCGCCAAGGTGAGGTGGCTGCTATTCATGAAACACCTTCTGTAGGCCACAGCTCTACAGCCATCCTCTCTAAGCCTCATGGCACCCTGCCAAGTAGAGGCCACCTGCTTGAACTGCAACAGGAAAGGCTCAAAGATATCACAGTAGACGTGGTGGACAGCAGTGTTATCCTGGACGTAGGGCAGATCCTCTGCCAACATGGGGTCCGAGGCAGCCTGCCATAGCGTCAGGCTGTACCTCTCAGATTGGCTCAGCAGCCAGCTGGAGTGGGCCTGGGCGGCCCGCACTGTGGAAGACCGCACAGGGAAGGTGACCCTCTGGAGCACCACTCCCACCAGCTCGTGCATCTTCTCCACCATGGCTCGGGTGTACGTCCTGTTTGGGAACATGGGCACGTACAGGGTGGTCCAGCCTGGAGACAGGGTGGCCTTGGGATACTTCTCCTGGACCAGGGCCAGGAACTGTGTGGCACTGACCTCAGCTGAGATGGGCATGTCGGGGCCCTTTAAGATGTCAGCGTTGATCCACATGGGCCGCCGGACTTTGCCCCACTCTGTCAGCTACCACAGGAGGTCCAGGGAGGGGCCCACGGCCTTGATGTTCTTGAAGTCCAGTTTGATGCCCTTCTGGGAAGAGCCCAGCACACCATCCAGCCACTGCTCCAGTGTGTCATCACTGTAGATAGCCGGAGGGTGTGCCACGATGGGAGCTCCTGTCTCGTCAGCTGTGCCGAGCCCTTCTACATTGACGTCAGCCTCCAGGACTGTGATGTTGCTGTTCAGGGCAGCTGTCACGGCTTTCTTGCTGTTGGCTGCGTGGTACCAGGTGACCTCCAGGGCATCTCGGCAGCTGATCTGGCCCAGGCTCAGCAGGTAATCCAGCATGTCGGCCTCGGAGCTGCAGGCCTCCAGCTCACAGCCTGGCCACCGCAAGGCGATGGCAAGGACTATCGCGGCAATGACCACTACAGAAACACAGGTAATGCCAGCAAACCCCCACTTGACCTGATTCTTCGATAACTGCTCCCTGCAGGCCATGACAACGCTCTCTGGGGAACGCCCCCAACTCCGCACGACCCAGAGTCCCCAAGGTTCCCTGCAAGCTGGGATCCCGTGGGAGGCAGGAGGCCCCAGCAGCACCTCATTCTCCACCAGTCAAACCTTTTAAGTGTCATTATTTTGTTCCCTGTGTGGAATCTTTCTTTCGGACAACATTGCCTGCTTGAGTGCATTAATTAATAACTAGTTTACCCATGTGCTAATGAATCAGTGACACGAAAACATGTAAACTCCAGGCCAGCCCTGCCGAACCCACAGTGAGGACTTAATACATGTTCGCTGCAGTGGATTCAGCCCAATGTCTGCATGCTAAATGGATGTGTTTTGCACCAAAAGCAATATTAGCCGTACAGTTTTATTATAGTTAAGAGTTTTTGGGGGGGTCAGGTGTGGTAGCTCACACCTGTAATACCAACACTTTGGGAGGCCAAGGCAGGTGGATCACTTGAGATCAGGAGTTCAAGACCAGTGGCTAACATGATGAAACCCCGCCTGTACTAAAAATACAAAAATTAGCTGGGTGTGGCGGCGCACGCCTGTAGTCCCAGCTACTCAGGAGGCTGAGGCAGGAGAACCGCTTGAACCTGGGAGGTGGAGGTTGCAGTGAGCCCAGATCATACCACTGCACTTCAGCCTGGGCGATAGAGTGAGACTTCATCTCAAAAATAAAAAAATAAAGAGTTTTTGGAATAGTTCAAGGACTTGCTTATGGCACCGTGGAGTACTAGAGTTCCAGGTAACCCAGGGTGAGAAGCACTTATGTGTACTTTGTCCCCCAAAACTAAACATTGAGAATATATAAAATCCTCCTTCCCATGGGAAAATGCAGAAATTCCCAGAAAGACATCTCAGCAGCATCTGGGAGAATGAGGAGATGCCTCTTTGGGGTGGATTATATGGGCGCCTTAATTGGGCTTCCGGACCAGAGACGAGATGGTGTCAGTACAAGGACATATTCTGGAGCCTGTGTAGTTCTATCTGGCTGTGGGCAAGTCAGGCTAACCTTTTAGTCAAGGGATCCCCAAGTGTGGTCCAGAGACCACATGCATCAGCATCGTCCGGAGAACATGTTTAAACACTGATGCTTAGGCCCCGCCCCAGACTACTCAACCAGAATCTCAGAGGACAGCCCATAATCTGCATTTTTAAATAAGCTCCCCACGATGCAGGGGATCCTGGTGCATCTCACCCTCAAGAGCTCTGTCCGTTACCCTGCACTGCCAGGCATCCGGGGGAGGTTTCTTCCCTGCAACACTCACTCTTCATCCACACTGCAGCCAGACGGACCCTGTGAGACACCCAAACGCAGGAAAGGCCTGTGCCTTCTCCGCCTCTTGCTAGGGCTGTCTTCCCACGCTCACCACAAGGTGACATTTTATCCTTCAGGGCACTGATGACATAGCCACTGCCCATACGTTGGAGGTGCTCTGACAAGGGGCTCAGGCAATGCGGACCTTACCCAGAGATACCGGAGGTGATGCTGCAAAACGGTGCTACCTGGGCAGGGGGAGATGCTGAGGCACCACTCAAGCGCGTGTTCAAGCCGCATGCTCCCTCCCCTTTGCAGACACCTGGACCCTCAACCTTGTGAGCCCAAGTGGCCTGTCTTTTCTCTCCTGCCAGCCTCTGTGTGAGTTTCGGAGACAGCTTGGACCTTCTGTCTCAGCCTTCTTAACCCAGAGCCACCAGGCCTGCATTCCTCTCTTGGGGAGCTCTGAGCTTCCAAAAAGGAGTAGAATGAGTGAGAAGGGGGAGTAAAGGCGGCCTGAAACACCAAGGACTTTTGATAGGCTCTCTGACCCTCGGGGCACCACAACCCCAGGGAAAGAGGCCACCAGATGAGGGCCGGCTGCTATTATTTTCTAGACCGGAAAATGGTTGTTCGGTGGTACGTGATTTGGAAATGGTATCCTACCTGCTCCTGGCACTGCTGACCCTCTTCCCGCCACCCGCCACCCCCCCGATGATGCAACTCAGTGACCACTTTATGAATTCAAGGACCAAGCCCTGCTTTTAAAAGCTGCAGGCTAGCCGGGCGCTGTGGTTCATGGCTCTCAGGACTTTGGGAGGCTGAGGCAGGCAGATCACCTGAGGTAGGGAGTTCAAGACTAGCCAGCCAACACGATGAAACCCCATCTCTACTGAAAATACAAAAATTAGCCGAGCGTGGTGGCAGGTGCCTGTAATCCCAGCTACTTGGGAGGCTGAGGCAGGAGAGTTGCTTCAACCCGGGAGGCGGAGGTTGCAGTGAGCCAAGATCGCACCATTGCACTCCAGCCTGGGCGACAAGAGCAAAACTCCGTCTCAAAAAAAAAAAAAATAAGTCACAGGCTCAAGTTCAGGCACCATGTAGTCTCTCTGTGGATATTGCCTGTGTCTAGCCCTTTCTCTGCTTTAGCCAGAGGAAGGGGGTCAGGAACCCCAGGCACCCCCTCTGCTGTCTGTCCCCCTCACATACAGGTCTCAGGCTGCCTAACAATTCGCCCTGCCCCATCCTTGGTTAGTCTTGGCATTGTGCTTTAAGGGGCAGGCATGTTGATGGCAGGAGCCCTGTCACCACAGCCAGAAGCCTGGTCCCTTGCTGGCCCCTCCACTCCCAGGTAGAAACAGTCTCTTCACTTCCCTGGCCTCAGCCTCCTCATTTGTAAATGAGGTATGGAGTTCAAGTCCATACCTAACTCCGGGGCTGCGGTGAGAATTAATCTGATAGTCAATGTTGAAAAAACTGGCTTAGAACACTGTAAAACAGGCTAGAATTTTAAATGTTTCCTTCTTTATATGCAGTCATGTGCCACATGGTAACATCTTGGTCATTGACAGACTCCATCAACAACAGTGGTCCCATAAAATTATAATGGAGCCAAAAACTTCCTATCGTCTAGTATTTTTACGCTACACCTTTTATCATTATTTTAGAGTATACTTTTTGTATTTTTTTTAAGTTAACTGTGAAACAGCCTCAGGTAGTCCTTCAGCAGGTATTCCAGAGGAAGACACTATTATCATAGGAGACACGAGCTCCATTCACACTACTGCCCCTGAAGAGCTTCCGGTAGGATGAGGCGTGGAGGTAGAAGGTAGCCATATTCATAATTCTGACCTAGTGCAGGCCTAGGCTAATGTGTGTGTCTGCGTCTTTATAACAAAAAATTTATAAAATAAAAATAAATAGAAAAAGTTTATAGAGTAAGGATATAAAGAAAGGAAATATGGGCCGGGTGAGTGGCTCATGCCTGTAGTCCCAGAACTTTGGGAGGCCAAGGTGAGTGGATCATGAGGTCAGGAGTTCAAGACCAGCCTGGACAACATGGTGAAACCCGGTCTCTACTAAAAAAAAAAATACAAAAAAAATTAGCTGGGCGTGGTGGCATGCACCTGTAGTCTCAGCTACTGGGGAGGCTGAGGCAGGAGAATCACCTGAACCCAGGAGTGGGAGGTTGCAGTGAGCCAAGACTGTGCCACTGCACTCCAGCCTGGGTGACAGAGTGAGACTCTGTCTAAAAAAAAAAAAAGAAAGAAAATATTTGTATACAGTTGTGCAATACATTTGTGTTTTAAGCTCAGTGTTATTATAATACAAAAGAGTCAAAAAGTTTAAAAAGTTAAAAATGTATGAAGTAAAAAAGTTACAGTAAGCTAAGGTTAATTTATTTTGAAGAAATAAAATTTCTGAGTAAATGTAGTGTACCCAAAGTGTCTTGTGTTTATAAAGTCTACAGTCATGTACAGCAACTCCCAGGCCTTCTCATCCACTCCGCACTCACTCACTCACTGACTTGCCCAGAGCAACTTCCCATCCTGCAAGCTCCATTCATGGTAAATGCGCTGTACAGGTATATAGGTTCAGGGCACTTACTATGTACACATTTTAAAATCTATACCTTGCCAAGGTATACATTTTATTTTCTTTTACACTGTATTTTTACTGTACCTTTTCTATATTTAGAGACACAAATGCTTACCATTGTGCTACAGTTGCCTACCACATTCAGTACAGTAACATGCTGTACAGGTTTGTACACTAAGAGCCATAAGCTACACCATAGAGCCTAGGCGTGTAATAGGCTACGCCATCTAAGTTTGCGTACACTCTACAATGTTCACACAACAATAAAACTGCCTAACCATGCATTTCTCAGAACATATTCCCATTGTTAAGTGAGGCATGATGGTAGATACACGGTAAAACATTTTGAAACAGTAAAAGAATAAAGAAACTATTATTTATAAACCCATCACCTGAGCAACCCTGGGTATTGTTTATTTACTTCCTTCTTTTTTCTTTTTTTTCTTTTTAATTTGAGACAGAGTCTTGCTCTTATAGCCCAGGCTGGAGTGCAATGGCGCAATCTCAGCTCACTGCAACCTCCGCCTCCCCGTTCAAGCAATTCTCCTGCCTCAGCCTCCTGAGTAGCTGCGATCACAGGCATCCGCCCCTACGCCCGGCTAATTTTTGTATTTTTAGTAGAGACGAGGTTTCACCGTGTTGGCCAGGCTGGTCTCAAACTCCTGACCTCACCCACCTCAGCCTCCCTAAGTACTGGGATGACAGGCGTGAGCCACCGCGCCTGGCCTCCTTCCCTTTTTTTTTTTTTTTTTTAACTCAGCTGGGATCATGCTCTGTTTGTGAGTTTGAAACTGTTTTGGAGATTCATTTTTCTTATGTGCACAATGAACATTGTGAGCATAAAGCTTTTTCATTCACTTTTACAGGATAATTTCCCAGAAGTCCAATCGCTGGGTTAAAGGCTATGACTGTTTTAAAGCTCCTGATGCATATATCATAACTCTTGTTAGCCCTTCTCCCCAGAGTTGGAAACTGAAGCTCAAAAGATTGAAATACACAGCAAAGCTGGACAGAAACCCTGGGCAAGGTATTCCACGTTTTGCGGTCTACGCTCAACAGCACAGCATGAAAGAGAAGGCGGCCCCCTCCTGCAGAGCCTCAGATTACTGTGCACTGATGAGGACAAGCAGCCCTGTGGGGGATGAAACCTGGAACAAAGGCTGGGGAATTGAAAGGACAGCCTGGGGTTCAGGACCGCTGAGTTTGACTGGGGGCTTTTCTGCAACTCTGTGACCCTGAGCAAGTCCCTTTGGCCTCAGTTTCAGCCTTGCAAAATGAGGGGCATGGACTGAGTCTAACACCTCACCCCTCTGCCCAGATGCATCACTCCCAAACCAAAAACAGAAACATTTTGGTTTTAGTTTTGCACAGAAGGACTAAAGATAATCCATTTTCTCCAGCTCGAGATAGTAACTGGTTGCTCTCTTGGCCATAAAACTGACCTGGCTGGATCTCCCAGCCAGCAGGCTGGGGTTCATGTGACAGCTAGCTCCAGAAAACAGGCCCCAAGCTGGAATCTGCCAGACAGTGGCAGGAGAATGCAGTCCTTTCAAGATCAGGTCAGTTGGTCTCAACACCAGGCTCCGCTGTCTGCACTGTAAAGAGATTTCCCTGTCCACCCAGCCCTGGGGACAGACGGACAGATGGAGGGCGTCGGTACCAGCCGTCCAGGGCGCTGGTCTGCTGCCTGCTCTCTGTGTGCACAGGGGTGCTGATGGACAGCTGCCCAGCGCGGCCTGCGCAGGGTCCTGCAGGGAGTCGAGGCTGCTGCTCTTGGTTGTTTATTCAAGTGGTCAGGAACTCAGGAAGCCACATCAACAGTTGTGAAAATGGGACCAACAAAACAAGGTCGGTGGGGACAGCTGTTTGTCAGATGCCCCTGAACTTAAGTGTTTATCTGGCTGACACACAGACTGCCGTTTCCCAGAATGCAGAGGTGAGTGCCTCTGTTTGCGGTGGAGGGTCAAGGTCCTAGAATCCCACACGTGTGCGTCTCTCTCAGACTTGCTTTGAGCCTAGAACAATGGTTGCTCCCCTGAAGGAAGAACTGCCTCAGCTCTCTCAGAAAGAGGAATGGTGAGCTCAGGGCGCGGTCTTTATGGAAGATGTACCTATGGAGCATCAGGAAGCCAAGTCACTGGCAGGGACCACAGGGCATGTCATTGCCATACGTAAAAGTACGTATACACAGAAGAACACACTTTGCAAGAACATGTTCAAACAAAAAGGTAAACATATCAAAATGATGGTCTATGGGTTAAAAAAAAAAAAAAAAGAATAGGATTTGGCCCTGGGGATAATCACCTTTAGCACAAGAAAAGAGGGGACATGCAGGGACCGCTCATGCAAATGCGCTGTGAGCTGATTGGGGAATGCCACCAATTCCCGGGGCTTGACGGCCAAAGGCTTTTTAAATAAAGGAAAGAAAAAAGACAAAAGCCAACCGAACACGGAAGACGTCATTAAGAATGGATTTGGCCCCAATGCAGTGGCTCACGCCTGTAATCCCAGCACTTTGGGAGGCCGAGGCAGGTGGATCACTTGAGATCAGAAGTTCAAGACCAGCCTGGCCAACATGGTGAAACCATGCCTCTACTAAAAATACAAAAAACTAGTTGGGCGTAGTGGCGCATGCCTGTAATCCCAGCTACTCAGGAGGCTGAGGCAGGAGAATCAACTGAGCCCGGGCGGTTGCAGTGAGCCAAGATGGAGCCACTGCACTCCAGCCTGGGCGACAGACTGAGACTCTGTCTAAAAAAAAGAAAAAGGCTTTTGAAGGGCCTTGAATTTGTTTTTATAAAGGGAGGAGGTTAATCCACATGGGACAGAGGTGTGGACCACCTTAGTTCTCAGCCCTGGGAGCGCATTCGAATCCTTCAGGAGGCTTTGAAAAGACACTGGATTCCATTGGCTTGGGGCGAATCGAGCTTTCAGGTTTAAACAGAGCCCACGGTGTCTTATAAGTAGTCAGAGCTGAGAGGGCTGCACTGTAGTAACCTGTGTGGCATCTGATTGCTCAGGAGAACAGGAGGGAGTGCTTGCCCAGAGCTGGAGGAAGAAGGGTTTTTGACAAGGAAGGGCCAGTTGCAGTCAGAGATGGAGAAGGAGTGACTTGCAGTGGGCACCATTTGAGATGAGGGAGGAGAGGAGAAACCAGAACGGAAGCAGGGGTGAGTGTGTGCAGTAAGAGCTGAAGGGTAGGGAGAGGGGGAGCTGCAGATGCAAAGGAACAGCGAGGCAGGATGGGAGCAGGGTCCGTGCGGCCACGGGCCGACCTCTCACGTTACAGACACAATGAGAAAGCCGAGCCTCAGAGAAAGCAGCTTATCCAGAGACGGGCCTCGAACACAGCCACCCGACTCCGCTGGCCTGTCCGGTGCTGTCTCCGCCGCCCCACGGAGCCTGTGTGCTCTGCCTGAGCGGCACGTCCCCATCATCCCCATCTGACTAACGCTCACCACAGGGGCAGGGGAGAAGCCACCTCAGAGGGAGCTGGCAAGTGCTTTGAACCTCCTGAGAAAAAAATCACCTGAAGAGGACTTTGGGAAGGAAACCGACTAGTTAAGATTGCTTATTCCCTTCCCTCTCTCAGCTCAATATTCTTATCTATTGCAAACTTTCCATCACCCTCTGAAGTCAGGGCTGCTTTTCTCCTTAATTCCTTAATTCTGGAGGCTCACTTGTTTGTTCTTTCAATGCTGCCAGCCAGGCTGGGTGACTGTCGTAGCGATTCTCCAATTTCCTGCCACTCTGATGGTCTGTTAGTCACCCTGCTGAGAAAGGGAGGTCTGTGGAGTTAGGGTCTGAGGGAGATGGCTGAGAACACTTGCTCTCAGCCAGAATGCACGGCGTGGCCACGTGTCCACCACGCTAAATGTCTCACAGGTGCCCAGTTCTTACAGACAAGAAAAGTAAGCCCAAGAGAGGCAATGTAAGTTTCCAAGTGATGGGCAAGCTGGCGTGGAGGAGCTGGGTCTTACTTGTGCACCGCTGGGCCCACACCTGTGACATCACGTGGTAGAGGCTTGCTGGGCGCAGTGGCTCACGCTTGTAATCCCAGCGCTTTTGGAGGCCAAGGCGGGCGGATCACAAGATCAGGAGTTCGAGATCAGCCTGAACAACACGGTGAAACCCCATCTCTACTAAAAATACAAAAATTAGCCAGGCGCAGTGGCACACACCTGTAGCCCCAGCTATTCAGGAGGCTGAGGCAGGAGAATCAATAGAACCCGGGAGGTGGAGCTTGCGGTGAGCCGAGATCGCGCCACTGCACTCCAGCCGGGGTGACAGAGTGATACTCCATCTAAAATAAAAAAAATTAAAAAAAAATAGCTCACTGAACTGGAAGAAGTGGCCGGCCTGAGATCTGCTCCAGCCTTCTGGTTCCCAGCCCATCACTGGCTGGGACACAGGCCGGCCCAGCCTCTGTCGATCATCCTAAATACGCCACAGCCACAAGGGTTCTGGCCAGGCCTGCAGACATCCCTGACTTAGCATGGTGCAGACCACACTGCCGGGCTCCGTTTGCCTGCCCTGGGCAGCCCTTCCAGCTCTGTTTCTGGTTACCGTGGCCCTAATTGTGAGCTTTCTGTCAGGATGTACTGGCAGAGAGCCTGCTACCAGAGTGGGTCACGCAAAACATTCCAGAAGAAAACCCAGACTCTCGGGGTTGCCGAGGGAAATGAAAAGTCATTTCGTTTTAACTCAAACTCTCTTCCCTCCCTCCCTGCCCCCAGATACCCACATGAGCACTGCTTCTCTCCCCTTATACACACTCAGATTCTCCAGTTGGTTGTTGGACCTGCAGGTGCATTTCTAGTTCATTAACACTTATCAGTTGTCTCTAATGTGGAGAGACTACATGGAGAGGTCATTGTAGGTGTCTTGGCAACAGCCCAGCTAAAGGCCCAGTTGACAGCCAGCATTAATCACTGGATATATAAGTAGAGATACTTCCATATAATATGCTATGGTAGAGTTGTGAGCAAAGTGTTATTGGAGCTCACGGAGAAGGTGATTAATTATTAGTGGTGGAGACATCAGGGAAGGCTTTATTGAGGAGGGGACAGGTGGATGGACCTTAAAAATGGGTAGGCTCTGGCTTGCCCATGGGTATAATGAGGAGTTAGTCTAGACAAGCTATGACATCACAATAGTCATGATGGACACCAGGGTCACCTGTAGTCAACCAGAGAAACCCACGTCCCTGCAAGCGGCATGGTGCCCAGCAGTCGCTGGATGTTGTTTGCTTGTTTTAGGGACCTTGAACAAGGCATGGAGGTTCTCTGGCCAGAGTTTCTTCATCTATCAGGGAAAGGGCAGGAGACAGGGAGGGTACCGAGGCCAGTGTAATAGGAAGAATTAGATGGTGCTTTGCTGGGTGTGGGAGATGCTGGCTTGGTCCACTCACCCACTGTAGGGACTTTAGCTAGCCACTTACTCTCACTGAGTCTCAGTTTCTTCATTTGTGGAGAGAGATGGCAAGCAGTCTCTGCACCACCTGCCCCATGTTTATCCATGAAAACCTTCTGAGAATTACCACGACTGGAGGAGCAAAGATGACTGCCATGACTGTCAGTGAGGCCGGCAGCTCAGGATGCCCTGTGCTGGATGCTATGGGTTCCTGGCATGGCTCAGAGTGTGCCTCTATCCTTAATGCCTCCCACTGAAGTGTGTGTTCCTTCCAGTTTCTCTTTCTGTTTAACAAATCACCCCATGAGACAACCATCTGGGAGCGGCATAAACCAGCCCTTATCTTGCCGATGCTGAGGGCTAGGCGTTTAAACAAGACTCAGCAGGGTGGTTTATTGCTGTTCCACCATACCTGGGGCCTCATGTGGGAAGACATAAAGACTGGGGGTGTGCTCAACTGCTGGGGGCTGGCAGTAGCTGGAGTTATCTTCACTTACATGTCTCGTGTTTAATTCTGGTCTTCAGCTTACTACTGCCAGATCACCTATACCTGGCCTCTGCATGTAATCTCTCAACGTGGGCCAATTTGGGCCTCTTCAGAGCGTGGTGACTGGGTTCCAAGAGAAAATGTCCCAAGAGAGAAAAAAAGGAAGTGCATAGAATTTGTATGACCTAACCTTGTAATTCACACAATGTCGCTTCCCCCATATTCTGTTGGTCAAGGCAGTAGCAAAGTTCCTCCTGTGTTCCAGAGAGAGGCAGAGAGACCACAGCCTGCAGTGGGAGGGGTAGCAGGATCACATTTTAAGAAGAGAATGTAGGATGAACATATTGTTGCAGCAATCTTTGAAAAACACAATCTACCACAATGTTCCTTGCCCTGGTATTCAAAGCCCTTCTCCACATGCTCCCAGCAGCATCTCTCGCTGCCTCTCGGCACAAACCCCACTCCAGGCAGGCCAGCCTCCTCACTGCACCCAAAGTGTGCCATCTTCACCCCAGCCTGAGAGGCTTGGTCCTGTCATGCTCATACCTCACTCTCTTCTTTCTTATTTCCAAGTCCTATCTCCCAAATAATTCAGGTTCCTGCTGTGTTAGTTAGCAGTTAAGACCAAAAGGGAAGTCTCTTAGCAAACATAGTTCCTAGGACCTTCTTTATTAGTGCAGTGTGAGACCTATTTCTTTCTTAGAAGTAGTAAAAGTTCTACTATTCTGAGATTCACTGGTTCTGAAAAATATCCACCAAGCATAGATTCCCTTCAACTGTAATCATTGCACGCATACTTACGAAATTCAGGTTCCTTCCTGAATTTCTCTTCCAGACAGAAATAATGACTATAATAAATTAAAGGCGGCTTGTTTTAAACCAACAATGGTGTGGCTGACAACGAAAGTGTAAATATGGCTATAGTTAATGGATTTTTTTGGCCTTACTTCATTTCAGCTTATTAGACCATGACTAATAAAGGGCTGGCATTGCTCACTAATTACTCCCCAATTAAATCAAGGGCCAGGTCCCTGCCTCTTATGCAGATCCCAGTCCCTAGGAGCTCTGGGGATCTAATAGTGCTCAGGAAACACTCAGTTGTTGCTTGGAAAAAAAAAAAACAAAAACAAACCTGAAATCCACAAGACAGCTGAATTGGGCTGTTCCTCTACATTCTACCTGTAGATGCGTGTTTCCACTGAGCACAACGGAAGCCACTAACAATGGCATCCATTCCTCACTCACAACCTGGGGAGGCACAAAGGGAAGGTGTTGTTATCCCCATTTTTCTGATGAGGAAGTTGAGGCTTAAAGAGATTAAGGGGTTTTCGCAAAAATCAATGGCCCCTGTGTTGATGGAGCAAGGAGGTGAGAACTTTTATGGCGTCTTTTCATTCCTCAGTCCAGATCCCTTTTTACTGTACTACCTCCAGTTTAGCTGGCTCATTCACTCATCCAAGTATTCAGTCATTGATGTAATTGACAAATGCTTGCTAAGCACATCCTTTGTACACAGCACAGCATAGGTGCTGGCGAAACAATGGTGAACAAGAAGAAGTGCCTGCTTTCACTGAGTGGTCCAAAGGGAAAGGTGGTAAGGGACACCTAAGCAATTATATGTATAAGATCATTTGACATATGACAAATGTTATCAAGACAATAGAACGGAGTCATATTCTGTTATGGGATACAGAGTGGCCAGGATAGCTAGAGCAGGGAGGCAGAAAGGCACCTCTTCAGCGAGGATCGTCAGGCAAGGCTTCCTGAGAATGGGATGCCAGAACTGGAACCTTAATGAAGACAGGGAGCCAGCCACATAAAGATCTGGGGAAGAGGAGTCCCAAGAAGAGGCAACAGCAAGTGCAAAGGCTCTGAGCCAGGAATAGGAATAGCCTGGTCATGTCAGGGGAAAAAAGGCCACTTAGGTGAGAAATCTTGAGCAATGGAGAGAACAGAGGGAAGTGGAAGGTAGAGGGCCTCAGAGGCCATCCTAGGGAGGGCGAAGGAAAGCCTGCGTCAGCCAAGGAGGACCTGCAAGAGTGGGCGGCCCTTCCCATCACCTGAAGGTGTCTCCAAGAATACGGTGGGCTTGGCTTGTCTGTTTCTGAGTTTGATTTCTTTCCAAGGCAATCCTAAAGGCAAAAGAATACCCTTGAGCCCTTAATAGCTTAAATATAGCAACTATATGCATCACTTCACAGTCTTTCACTTGCAGCCTCTGTCAATGGGTTTTACTTTAAGGTGCATTGTTTGTGTTAACATGAATTCTGTGTCATTATTCAAATAGTAAGCTCATTACAAAATCTTCAAGCCAGCTTTCTGTTTAAAATTCCATTTTATTTTTATAACACATTAATTTATATTCTAACTATAAAAAAATTAAAAATAGTTGGGACTTTCAGAAAAGCACTAAGAATAAAATGTAAATCTCCTGTAAAGAGTGGAATTGATCTAAAAGTGAAGGGCTGAAAGTTTGAGGGCATCTCTCATTCTCCTCTAAATGCAGTATGTCCTCTCAGCAGCTTCCCCAGCTGAAAGCGGGGCCATTTACTTTGCTTAAAGCATTTGCCCTTCTAAACTTTAGATTCCTTTTCTGCTAACTGGGGATTTATTTCAAAGGACTACAATGAGAATTAAATAAGGTAATGCAAGTAGGGCACCTAAAACAATGCCCAGCTCGGAGAAGATGCTCCAAAATATTAGCTCTGGGTCAGGCAGGGTGGCTCACACCTGTGATCCCAGCACTTTGGGAGGTCGAGGTGCGAGCATCAGTTGAGCTCAGGAGCTCAAGACCAGCCTGGGCAACATAGCAAGACCCCATCTCTAAAAGAAAAAAGTTGCTGGGCATAGTGGTGTGCACCTATAGTCCCAGCTGCTCAGGAGCCTGAGGTGGGAGGATTACTTGAGACCAGGAGTTCAAGGCTGCAGCAAGCTAGGATCATGCCACTGCACTCCAGCCTGAATGACAGAGCAAGAACTTGCCTCTAAATATATATATATATAAATATATATATATAAAATACATTATATATAAATATATATTTATATATTAAATATATTATATATAAATATATATTATACTCTATATATAGTAGCCCTGAGGCTTCATCCAGAGCAGAACATCCAGCGGGTATTCCATCAAGGAGTGTTTGCTTGCTTCTAAAGAAGAACATTCTAGCAATCAAAGCTGCCCATAACTTAAGGGTGTCCTGTCAAAGTGTCATATCAAATAATTTACCAGAAACTTTCAATAATAAAATTGAGAAACGCCTCCTTCAACTCTCTTAATCTCGTTTTCCCTGTAAAATCGGATTCTTTCTCTGGTCCCTGCCACTTAATTTCAGATATTGCTCAATTCATATTGAATTTATATTTTATGCTATATGCCAGGCATTGTGTTAGATGCTGTGGTCCAGCAGTGAACAGGATGGGCATGGGCCCCACCCTCGGGGAACTGCCAGCCCCAGAGCTGCAGGCATCTCCAATGCTGATGTCACTGTGGAAGTAGCTGCATTCCACATGGAGGAAACTGAGGAACCACGCTCATTCTTTTACTGACAGGGTTTTCCAAGGGATGGGACATGCATGGAAATAATTAATAGAGGTGACGTAGAGATTCCCAGGACCTCTGTTGGATCCAATCTGCAACCTGCCTTGGAGACGTCATCTGTGGGTCTTGGAGGTGGAGAGGAAATGCCTGGGATCCTAGGACTGCGTCACATTGATGCCCTTTCCCCTGCCTGCCCCCTCCAAGCCTTGGCCAGCCTGAAAGGAGCACATTGAGAAGTAAAACCGCATCCTCGGCTGCTTGAGTGCCTTTGCAAGACCTTCTTTTTTTATTATTATTATTTTTTTCTTCTGAGACAGAGTCTCCCTCTACCGCCCAGGCTGGAGTGCAGTGGCATGATCTTGGCTCACTGCAACCTCTGCCTCCCGGGTTCAAGCAATTCTCCTGCCTCAGCCTCCTGAGTAGCTGAGATTACAGGCACCCACCACCACACCCAGCTAATTTTTTGTATTTTTAGTTGAGACAGGGTTTCGCCATGTTGTCCAGGCTGGTCTCGAACTCCTGACCTCATGATCCACCCACCTCGGCCTCCCAAAGTGCTGGGATTACAGGCTTGAGCCACCACACCCGGCCTCTTTATGCACTCAGATGGACAGACGTGCTGTGCAGACAGTGGCGCTGCTGGGCTCTTTTAGAGAGGGACTGTCTCCCTAAATTGAAAACAAATTCTCCAGAAGTACAGGAAGCATACACAGGAACCAACCCAGTTAAATGAAGAATAACAGTTTACTGTGGCTCCTCAGTGAGAAGCTTCGGAGGGGATCCAGCAGCAGGCTAAGTCGTGGCAAGGTTGGATGAGTAAAAGAGAGAACGAAGACAGTCTCATAACCACAGCCTGTCCCTATGCCACCTCCATGTCTTGCCCTTCCGGACTAGTCACATTCTCACACACTCTGGCACACACACACTCATGCTCATGCTCACACTCACACTTACATGCACACACACACTTTTCCAGTTCAATGCCATTCCCCCGGATTGCTGCGGGTATGTGCCACCCCTCCCCCGCCCTTTCCCTGCATCAAACCAAAGACCACGTTTACTCACAGCCCAACCTTCGGGAAAACAGACCTCCTGGGCTGCTTCCTAAACTTCCTCTTATGCATCAAAAACACATTGTCCTTTCAAAGCTAGGACCGAGATAGGACCGAGACCTAATATTTCTCCCATGAGTCACTACATTACGCGTTACCAAGAATGCAGACCGCCTGTAAGAAGCCGTGCAGGTCCCTTAAGTACCTGAAGTCACAGCCACTTAACTCCAGCTGGACACATCCAAGCTGGGCTCACCAGTGTCTCATTGACTGGTGATCATGCGTCAGCCCTGTCAGGCCACCAGCCTGCCTAAAAGTCAACTCTCAACATGGCGTTCCTTTGCCAAGGAACCACTTGTGGGCAACATGGATGTCCACCCCTGGGCGTGGACAGGATGTAGTGGGTGTACTTCAGTGGTACTACACAGCCCTTAGAAGTCATTGCCTGTACGCACACTTGGTAGTATGAATGAATCTTAAAATCCTAGTGCCAAATAAAAAAGCCAGCAGCAGAATAACATATACGAAATCCCAAATCATTTACATACATTAAAGCAAAATGCATCCTAAGAACTAGGCAGCAATATCACTTATATAAGAACATGCACAAACACAAAGAAGGATGGCAAATGTATTAGAAGCAAGCCATCCCGCTATGGATGGGGAAATGAGAATACATAAGCAAATCAAGAGAGGGAATGTGTAGGGACCAATGATGGTAATATGTCATGAACTGCAGGATCTGATTAACTTAATCCTCTAATTTTCTTCACCAGAAGTCAAAAAAAGCAGAGGGACGTGGGGAGGACACATACATCTCTGACCTTGTTTACTGGTTTGTTTGTTTTTTTGGAGACCGAGTCTCACTCTGTCGCCAGGCTGGAGTGCAGCGGCATGATCTGGGCTCACTGCAACCTCCGACTCCCTGGTTCAAGCTATTCTCCTGCCTCAGCCTCCCAAGTAGCTGGCATTACAGGCACGTGCCACCACGCCCAGCTAATTTTTTTTTTTGTATTTTTAGTGGAGACAGGGTTTCATCATGTTGGCCAGGATGGTCTCTATCTCCTGACCTCGTGATCCACCCACCTCTGCCTCCCAAAGTGCTGGGATTATAGACATGAGCCACCGTGCCTGGCTGGTTTATTTGTTTATAGAGACAGGGCTTGTCCTGTCATCCAGGATGGAGTGCTGTGGTGTAATCATAGTTCACTGTAACCTTGAATGCCTGGGCTCATGGGCTCAAGCCATCCTTCTGCCTCAGCCTCCCGAGTAACTGAGACTATAGGTGTATGCCACGGCACCAGGCTAATTTTTAAAAAAATTTTTTTAGAGATGGGGTCTTGCTTTGTTGCACAGGCTGGTCTCAAACTCCATCTTTAAGTGATTCTCTTGCCTCAGCCTCCCAAAGTGCTGGGATTGCAGGTGTGAGCCACGGTGCTCTGCCTGGCCTAGGTTTACATTTCCAACCTCAGCTCCCACTTCCTTGAGCCTCAAGCCAAACAGGATGACCTGTGACTCACACAACACTCCCGATTCTTCGCCTTTGATTATGCTGCCCTTCTATGGCCAAGTCTGCCCCACACTTCCAGGGCCAGCTCCGGTGCTGCCCCCTCCACAGGCTTCCTCCTGTCTTCCTGAACCACCTGCTACTTTCTCTGCCCCACACTGCAGGCACTGGTCAGCATGTTTCGCAGCATGTCCTTATTTGTAGGCAGAAGTGACCCCAGTGGAGCCTCTAGGGTGGGGCTGCTCTGTTCAGGGAGGCTGTACACAGGGGCTTTTTGTGTCTTTGGCCATCTGCGCTCCAGATCGCAAGGTATGTCTTCTAAGCACACCCTTCAAAGCACTTCCTCTGAAAGGAGCACTTTCTCTACACAGAGATGCAGTACTTTCCCAGGAGAGCCCATCCCGAAGAAGAGGCCCACAGACAGATGCTTGGTGAATGGACAACTAGCAAGAGGACATCCACAAGCCCTTCTATAGTTAAGCCCTAGGCTCTCTTCCCATGCCCAAGACATCTCTCTGGCATCCCCTTTCCTCCCTTCCTGCAAGACCCAAGACTCAGCCGGGCTGCCTCTTCCCTTGCAAACTACTTCCACCCTGAGCCTCCTCTAAAATGGAACCTGACTGTGGAAGCCATTCTCTTGTTATTTGGACAACCACTCCCCACAGTCCCCCTCAACAATAGGTACTTAATCGGAAGCCACCTAGAGTCCTACAAACATAAAGATCTGGGAATTGGAAACCTTAGGAAGTGGTGAAAGCTCCGTTCCCTGTCTTCAGTGTGTAGATAGTCAGTAACAAACATTTCTGAGCACCTGTTATATGCTAGGCACTGATTTTGACCCTGGAGACATGATGGCGAGTAAAGGAACGTGAGCCCTCCCCTCATGGGGCTGGCTGATAATCTACTTCCCAGGGTGCAACTCTCACCCACTCTCCAAAGACAAGAATGTGAATTTTGCCAAATTCAATTTTCATTCCCCTGGGGCCTGTGCAGTGCTGGCAACAGAGGGGAGCCACTGGCTGGAGACCAGCTGCCTCCCAGGGCCCTGCCAGGGCTGGCACAGAGGGCTGGTGTTTCTATTCCCAGGGCCTGGCTCCCAACCAGGATGGCATCTGCTCAGCATTTGGAGCCCAGCATACTCTAATTGTCCTGTGGCCTCGTGGCACTTTCAGCCTATCAACTGAGTTTTTCTTAAAAAGCAACTCCTGTGTTTATTGGTTTTCTGGCCCAGATTTAGGTCACTAGAATTTTCCTTAAGGATGGAAAAACTCAGAGAACCAGATCTGGATGACTCTCTCATGCCGGGATGTGAGTGGGAGGGACTGGTGACATACTAAGAGAAGCTGGCTTAATGCCCACACCTACCACTCACTGCCTCACTACTTTTCTGAATGGCACTGGTCCTTCCTGAGCCCTTGGACAAGAAGCTAGGGGCCCTCACCCCAGTGAGGTGGCATTGCTTTGCTGTGTGGGCATAACTGAATCCCTTCCCTCTCTGAGCTGACATCCTCTCAAGTGATTCCTAAACAGATGAAATCATGGATACAAAGGGACTTGTTAAGCTCTGTAAAAACATAAGGTCCTGTTGGGACTTTGTGTACTTCCCTCTCAATTTTGCTGTCAACCTATAGCTGCTTCTAAAAAGATAAAGTCTATTAAAATAACAAATTTTTAAAAAGTAAGGCCCTACGGCAAACCCTGGGAAAAGGGGCTCTAGGTTCTTATAAAAGCTTCACTTATTTCTATGCAGCCTTGCAAAGTATGGGAATTTCTCTGAGCCTCAGTTTCCCTGTTCTACTAATAAAATAATGGGTTTGTAAATACTGGGTTAATTGTAGAGTACTGCTCCTTTGTGAAGTCTTGTTATTATCTGCTACCTACTAAAAGAGACTGTTCTGAAGGTCAGCCAGCAAGTTCCAAGTTGGTGGAAATTTTGAAGCTCTTAAAGAACACTGGAAAGCCCTAGAGAAGGTATAAGTAAATGTTTCACAGGCACCTTAAATTCAGCATGTTCAAAACTGAGCAGCAGGAGGAGGAAGACAAGAAGGAGGAGAAAACAGAGGAGGAAGAGAAGAAGAAGACAGGAGGAGGAGAAGACAGAGCAGGAGGAGAAGGAAAGTGAGCAGAAAAAGCAGAACCAGAAGCAAAGGCCACAGAAGAGAGGAAGATGAAGGAAGAGGAAGAGGAGGAAGAAAAAAAGAAGGAAGGCGTAGCAACAGCAGCAGCCGCTGAGGCAGAGGCAGAAAAGAAGAAGTGGGCATGGAAGCAGCAGAAGCAGCAGGAAAGGCAGAAGGAGAAGTGGCAGAAACATGCAAAGCAGAAGTAGATGCTCAGAAAGCAGAAGCTGCACACACAGACACACACAGATGCAGAGGAAGAGCGAGAAACTGAGAAAGGAAGAGGAAGAGAAGTAGATGTTGTAACCCTGGAAGGAGAAACAAGAACAGCAAGAGAAGAAGCAGAAGGAGCAAAAATAGAAGCAGGAGCTGAAGAAGAAGAGCGGGGGGAGAAAAGGAAGGGGAGAAAGAAGAGGAGGGAAGAGAAAGGCAGGGTGGGGAGGGAAGAGGGAGACATAGTCACAGTGGAGGAAGGAGAAGCTGCGGCAGAAGGAGAAGCAGCAAAAGCAAAAGTCAGAGCAGAGAAATGGAAACAAGCCAAAGTAGCAGCAGCAGAACGAAGAGAAGCAGCAGAAAAGGCAGGAGGAGGAGGAGGAAAAGCGCAAGAGGAGGAGGAAAAGGAAGAAAAAGCAGAAGGAGAAGTAGATGAATATGTTGCAGAAGAAGCACCAGCAGGAAAAGCAGAGGCAGAAGCAGCAAGCACAGGAGGAAAGAGAAGCAGAAGAGAGAAGCAACAGCTAAGAAGAAGCACCAGCAGAGACAGCAGTAGAAGAAGCATGGGAAGCAGAAGAAGGGGGAAGAGAGGGCGGAAGAGTGGGGAAGAGAGGGCGGAAGAGCAAGACTGGGTTGGGGAAGTCGTAGTAGAGGGAGGATGAGAAGCAGAAACAGAAAAAGCAGCTGAGAAAAAAGCAGAAGCAGAAAAGGCAGAAGCCAAAGCACAAGGCAGAAGAAAGCAGAAGCTGAAGCCAACGCAAAGCAGCAGACACAAGAGGAGAGAGAGCAGAACAGCAGACCTGACCACTGCAGCAGAACAGCAGACCCGACCACTGCAGCAGAACACAGAACAGCAGACCTGACCACTGCAGCAGGACACAGAACAGCAGATCCGACCACTGCAGCAGAACAGCAGACCCAACCACTGCAGCAGGACAGCAGACCCAACCACTGCAGCAGGACAGCAGACCAAACCACTGCAGCAGAACACAGAACAGCAGACCTGACCACTGCAGCAGGACAGCAGACCTGACCACTGCAGCAGGACAGCAGACCAAACCACTGCAGCAGAACAACAGACCTGACCACTGCAGCAGAAGCTGGAGAAAAAGGACAGAATCAGCAGAAGCCAAAGCAAAGGAAGCCAAAGCAGAAGGAGCATCCCGAGGCAGAGGCTGTGTGCCCACTGAGGGGTAAGGAAGAGAAGGCAGTGTGCCCACTGAAGGTTAAGGAAGAGAGGGCAGTGTGCCCACTGAGGGGTAAGGAAGAGAGGACACAGGCCTGGCCACTTGATTGGACCATTGGCTCTCCGAACCCTAGTGTCCTTCAGGAGACAAAGAGGCAGGTGAACCAGTGAGACGTTCTTGCAATTCTAATCATTTGTGCCAAAAATGAGGATAGGCTGAAGCGGAAATGTTCCCAAGACAAAAACAAGGATAAAGGAATAAACTTTGATCAAGCACCTTCCATGGGCCAAGCACAAAAGAGACTCAGCCCCTGCTTTCCATGAGCTCATAGTCTAGACAGGGTGATGCCAATGGTCAGAAGAGGGGTAGGAATTGCAAAGGCCCATAATTTGGGAAATGAGGAGACATTAGAGAGGCTTTAGAAAGAGGTAGGAAAAGACAAAAACATTAATAATAACTATAGCTACAATAATTTGTTAATGGATACACAATATGAAAATATGTAAATTGTGACATCAAAAACATAAAGTGGGAGGAGGATTAAAAGTAGTGTTTTAGTACGTCATAAAAGTTAAGTTGTTACCAGCTGAAAATAGACTGTTATAACCATAAGATGTTTTAGGTAAGCCTCATGGTAACTGCAAAGCAAAAACCTACACTAAATACACAAAACAGAAAGAGAAAGAAATCAATGCCACTACAGAAAACATCAAATCCCAAAGGAAGACAGCAACAGAAGAAGAAAGGAACAAAGGATCTACAAATTAGAAAACAATTACCAAAATAGCAATAATAATTCTTAAAAATCAATAATCACTTTAAATGTAAATGGATTAAATTTTCCAATCAAAAGACAGAGGGGCCCATTGGATTAAAAACAAGGCCCAGCTATATGTATATAGCTGGATTTGATGATTTCTATAGTGTTATGGTTGTAACACTATAGAAAAGAAAAGCAGCTTTTGTAAGGCCATAGCTCTCATAGACAATGACACATCTGGTGGATCTGGGCAAAGTAAATTGAAAACCCTCTGGAAAGGGTTCACCATTCTAGATGCCATTAAGAACATTAGTGATTCACGGGAGGAGGCTGAAATACTAACATTAACAACCAATTTTGAAGAAGTTGGTTCCAACCTTCATGGATGACTTTGAAGGCATCAAGACTTGGGTGGAGGAAGTCCTGCAGATGAGGTACAAATAAATAACAAGATAACTAGACTTATTATAGAAGTGACGCTCGGAGTTGCTTCTTTTTTTTTTGAGACAGAGTCTCTCTCTGTCGCCCAGGCTGTAGTGCAGTGGCGCGATCTTGGCTCACTGCAACCTCCGCCTCCCAGGTTCACGCCCCATTCTCCTGCCTCAGCCTCCTGAGTAGCTGGGACTACAGGTGCCTGTCACCACGCCTGGCTAATTTTTTGTATTTTTAGTAGGAGAGAGGGTTTCACCGTATTAGTCAGAATGGTCTCGATCTCCTGACCTCGTGATCTGCCTGCCTCGGCCTCCCAAAGTGCTGGGATTACAGATGTGAGCCACTGCACCCAGCCCAGGGAGTTGCTTCTTATGGATGAGCAAATAAATGGTGTCTTTTTTCTTTTTTTCCTTTTTTTTGGGTTTTTTTTTTTTTTCCTCTCTTTTTGAGACAGAGTCTTGCTCTGTCTCCAGGCTGGAGTGCAGTGGCGTGATCTCGGCTCACTGCAATCTCCGCTTCCTGGGTTCAAGCAATTCCCCTGCCTCAGCCACCTGAGTAGCTGGGACACTACAGGCATGCACCACCACACCTGGTTAATTTTTTGTATTTTAGTAGAGACAGGGTTTCACCATGTTGGCCAGGATGGTCCCAGTCTCCTGACTTCATGATCTGCCCACCGCGGCCTCCCAAAGTGTTGGGATTACAGGCGTGAGCCACTGTACCCAGCCAAGAAATAGTTTCTTGAGATACAACCTACTCCTGCTAAGGATGCTTTGTTGAAATGACAACAAACAATTTAGAATATTATACAAACTTAGCTGATAAAGCAGTGATAGTGTCTGAAAGGATTGACTCAATTTTGAAAGAAGTCATAATGTGGATAAAATGCTACCAATAGCATCACATGCTATAGAGAAATCTTTCATAAAAGGAAGAGTCAATATCGATGTTGCAAACTTCAACGTTATCTTATTTTAAGAAATTGCCACAGCCATCTCAACTTCAGCAACCATCACCTTGATCAGTCAGCAGCCATCAACATCAAGGCAAGAACCCCCACCAGCAAAAAGATTATAACTTGCTGATGGCTCAGATGATCACTATCATTTTTTTAGCAATAAAGGATTTTAAAATAAATAATGTACATTTTTAAAAGATGTATTGCTATTGCACACATAATAAACTACAGGATAGTGTAAACATAACTTTTTATATGCACTGGAAAACCAAAAAATTCATGACTTGCTTTATTGTGATATTTGTTTTATTACAGTGGTCAGAACCGAACCCAAATATCCCCAAGGTATGCCAGGATGTCAGTTAGGTCCGTCTGGTCTATAGTGCTGTTCAAGTCCAATGTTTCCTTATTGATTTCATGTCTGGAAGATCTATCCATTGTTGAAAGTGTGATATTGAAGTACCCTACAATTATTGTATTGCTGTCTATTTCTCCCTTCAGATCTGTTAATATCTACTTTTTATATTGGAGTGCTCTGATGTTGGGTGTATATATATTTGCAATTGTTACAGCTTCTTGATGAATTGAAGCCTTTATCATTCTATAATAACCTTTGTTTCTTGTGACAGTTTTTGACATAAAGTCTATCTTATCTGGTAATGATACAGCTACTGCTGCTCTCTTTTGGTTTCTATTTGCATGGAATATCTTTTTTATCCCGTCTCTTTCAGCGGTGGCTCATGCCTGTAATCCCAGCACTTTGGGAGGCTGAGGCAGGCAAATCACGAGGTCAGGAGTTTGAGACCAGCCTGGCCAACATGGTACAACGCCGTCTCTATGAAAAATACAAAAATTAGCCAGGCGTGGTGGCACACACCTGTAATCCTAGCTACTCAGGAGGCTGAGGCAGGAGAACTGCTTGAACCCGGGTGGGGGAGGTTGCAGTGAGCCGAGATCACGCCACTGCACTCCAGCCTGGGTGACAGTGTGAGACTCTGTCTCAAATAAATACATAAATAAATAGCAGATGTCCTCCTGTGGTCCAGCTGGGGCTTCCTCTCCAGCTTCCTCTTCTGCCCAGCCCCTGTGCTCCAGCCACACATGGCTTTCTTCTGGGTTCTTAAACATACCAAACACCTCCCAGGTTTGGAGACTTTGCACAAGTATTCCCTCTGTCTGGAACATTCTCCCTGAGTCTTTCCCCATTCCCCATTCATACCAGTTCTATGACTTTAAGCAAGTCCCTTTTCCTCTGGGGACTCGGAATCCTTAGCCAGACACTGACGAGGCTGGGCTCTTTGGTCTCCCAGTTCGAACAGTCTGTGGTTTTTCTGTTGTTGAGTGTATTCATTTAAGGCTCCTCCTCTCCCAAACAGACCTTGGAAATAGCAGTGAAATGGCAGAACGGGAGATGAGAATAAATACCCCTAAAGAAACAAATTGTCTTGCTCCCTTTGTTGTTGCAACATTTGTACTGGAAAGTGACTTTCAAAGCTACAGGCCAAGGGAATACTTTGTCATTTGCAATTTAATTCTTGGTTCCATTACTTAAACCGGCGACTGAAATTTTCCATTCCCTCTCGAAATCACCAGAAAATGGGCATAACCCACCTCAGGTGTTCCAAGGACATGATGGATAGTCTATAGGTTAACAAGTTACTATCAGCAGTCTCTTAAAATAAATTATTTGCAACTGTTAATTGTGTTAAAGAATAAATAAGGACATGTTGGACACATTAACTTTGGGGATCTTTTTATCCTAGGATATATTCTTCCCCATTTAACTTTCATTCCTTCTAATTTCCAAACTTAGGTCTCTAGAATTAAACTGTCTAGCCTTCTTTTGCGCAGAATACCAAGTAATAATTATCCCACTTTGTTTCCACAGTAGCAGCCCATGTCTCATATTTGCATACTTTTATTTTTAAACACTTAAATGCAAAAGAGAGAAAACAGAGTAATGCAAGACAATCAGATGGGAATCGGATTGCAGTCGCTCTCTGAACAAGACATTTTCTCTCAACAATTCAGAGGCTCTTGACATTTGCACTTCCCCATACAACATGTTCCATGTGCCACAGGAACAGTCTCCTTGTTGGGAATTGATTGTATGTATGTTCACTCTTGCAGAAATTAACCTCCAAGAAGCCTGGCAGACTGCCAGGGACCCCAGGCTCTGGAGATGAGGGTCAGGGTCAGGGGCTTCTTTAGGGACTCAATCCAAGAGCCTGACATTCACAGCAAGGTGAATTCACAGCAAGATCTTTCCTGCTTGAAAGATCTCTTTGCTGCGAGCACCCCATGAGAGGTCATGGGAGTGCAGAGCAAGGTGCAGAGATGACAAACTCTTCTAATGAAGTCACCCCGCCAGCACTGCAAGGGCATTCATGCACATCAAATAGGCTTGAGAATAAAAGTATAGCTCTCCTGGAGCTATAGATTGGGAGTCCTTTGGGGGCAAAACTTAAACCTAGCACCTGCCATGTAATAATCTGTGCTTCAGAGGATCACCTCCCAATCTAGATGATCCTCGGGCATTTTAAGATAAGTTCCATCTAATTGAGCTCATAAAAACTCTTTTAGCTGAATTAATCTGATCCAGGTAACTTGTACATAAAGCCTGAAGACACACAAAAAATTAAAACATGCCTAAAGTGGTATTGTCTTTAATCCCTGTTGGGCAGGTTAAAGAAATTTGGACTTTGGGTGTTTGCCTCTTGGAAGTCCCCTCTCACTAGAGAGAGAGCTGTTTTCCTTTCTCCTTTCTCTTTCCTTTGCCTATTAAACCTCTGCTCCTAAACTCCTCATGTGTGTCCGTGTCCTAAATGTTCCTGGTGCAAGACAACAAACCCCAGGTGTTTACCCCAGACAACAGCTGCTTCATATCGGGGACCTCGTCCGGGATACCAAGGTACAACATTCATCGAAACGCAACATCTAATGGAGGCAAACCAGTGTTAGAACCCATCAGAATGGCTGACAGCAATCAAACTCCAAACGCTGCTTCAGACAGAACCATGCATGGACACACCTTTCTTCCGAGGATCCTTAAATCAACCCCAGGAGGAGCCCTAGCTGCTGTTCCCCACACAATGCCCCTTTTCAGCAAGAAGTAGCCAGAAAGAGTGTTTATCCAACACCCCCTAACAACAGTTAGGGTTACCACTCCAGAGGGCGGAATGATACAGGAGTTAAGAAGAAATTACTTAGGCAGATAGTGAGGGTATGGAAGTCCTTGGCAAGATTTTCCTTTTGATGAAAAGCAGCCCCAAATTATTTTTCTTTCTAACACAGAGCAGCCTATAAAATCGAGCTGCAGACACAGATGCTGTCAGTTGTGCCAATCATGTTCAAGATGGCGGCTCCCTCTTCCCTTCTCTGCCAGTCACGTGTACAGTAAGGAGCAGACAAGTTGGCACCGGCCAAGGGGAAAGTTCATTTGCATAATGGGATTAGGGCGGGGTGGCCAGGCTTGCCCGCACAGTTTGTAAACATCATACCTGATTGAACCAATCTGTGGGCCCTATGTAAATCAGACAACACCTCCTCAAGCCTGACTATAAAATCCGGCACATCCACCAGCAGCCGGTCTTTCCTCTCGGAAGTCCCCTCTCGCTCACTAGAGAGCTGTTTTCCTTTCTCATTCTTTTTCTTTTGCCTCTTAAACCTCCACTCAAAAAAAAAAAAAAAAAAAGACAGAAATGTGAACTTTATCATGAAAGTGGCAGCCATTTAGATTTTAATCAGAGGAATGACTGAATTCCTACCACATACTAGGGGAAACTGAAAATAGTTTCTCCTCCAAAAAGGTTGCAAATCTCTGTTGCAAAATTTCTACAGGATCGCTGTGGGTAGGGGTGACAATAAATCTACAATATTGCAATGCCTCCACCTACTCTCCTCTCCACACACACCAAACACTCACCCGTCTTCATCCCTCACGTCTGACAGTAGCCACATAGCTTTTACATGGATGGGCACTCAGATGCCGATAAGTTAAGTCACTACCCCAAGTCATGTAGTTAATTACTGCCCAAACCAGGACTGTACTATCAGGGTGCCCCAGCTGGGGTAACCTCATTACCAAGCTGATTGATGTGTATGTCCCTTGTGATAAAGTGATATGTTCCAAGTGAAAAGCAGCACAAAACAATTTTAAAAAACAAAAACAAAAACACCAAACCCTCAAGTGTTTGTTCCCAGGCTTACTCTCGTTAAACATGACTTTGGAAAATGGTTTGTTTGCTTTTTTTTTTATTTTCATACCTCTACCATTTCATTTCAGATGTTGGCAAGAATTAGAGGGAATTTTTAAAGCCGAGAAGTTCTTGGCTGTGTGCAATGGACCACCTTGAAACAAAAAACCCACTATAGTCTCAATCCCTCTCCCTCTACTTCCCCTTACTCCTCTCCCCTTTTCCCTCACCCCACCCCCACCCCATACAGGAGACCAGAGACCATTCACATAGCAGAGAGAGTTTGGAAGGGAAAAGAGGTAAGTCAGCCGACTTTTAGGTGCCTTTCACATTTCCCTCTCAATAAATCTAAGTAAAGCAGCTGTCCTTGTAGGCTCATAGCCCACAGAGTCACCTGCTAATGCGCCAGTCTCCCAGTCTCGCAGACGCTCTTTAGTTAATGCAAAGTGCAGAGGCTGGAATTAACAGATACTTTTTATTCCCACAGAGATGGATCACTTGGTGATACACTGACTTTCCATCTGTAAAGTAGAGGAGAGCAACACTTAACACCTTAGTGGAAGGAAGGTATCAATTAGTAAACAAGCATTTTTGGTGCACCTACCAAGTGCTTAGCCCTGTGCACCACGACAACCAATGAGAATAAAGAGAGCAAGGCTGCTGTGCAGGCGCTTGGTCAAGCCACAGCCCATTCACTTACTGTGTGCCCTTGGGCAAGCTGTTCCACCACTGTAGGTATTGTTTTCTCATCTGTAAAAGGAAGAGGATAATACTACCTACCTTAAAGCATTGTTGGGGGAATGGATTGAGAGAATTCATTTAAGAGTGATTTGGGAACTGAGAGAATTCATTTAAGAGCAATTTGGGGCTGGGTGCGGTTGCCCACATCCGTAATCCCAGCGCTTTGGGAGGCCGAAGTGGGCGTCTCACCTGAGTTCAGGACCAGCTCAGCAAGTATGGCAAAGCCCCGTCTCTACTAGAAATACAAAAATTAGCCGGGCATGATGGCACGCATCTACAATCCCAGCTACTCAGGAGGCTGAGCAGGATGAGCAGGAGAATCACTTGAACTCAGGAGGCAGAGGTTGCAGTGAGCCGGGATGGCAGCTACTGTTGGGAAGCCAAGGCAGGCAGACTGCTTGAGCCCAGGAGTTCAAGACCAGCCTGGGCAACGTGGTGAAAAACCCCATCTCTATACACACACACACACACACACACACACACACACACACACACTATCCGGGCCTGGTGGCACATGCCTGTAGTCCCAATTACTTGGGAGGGTAAGGTGGGAGGATCACTTGGGCCTGGAAGGCTGAGCTTGCAGTAAGCTGAGATTGCAAGATCCTGCCATTGCACTTCAACCAGGGTGATAGAGCAAGACCCTGTCTCATAAAAAGAAAAAAAAAAAGAGTGATTCATCAGTATATGACACAACATAAGTATTATCGAATTAAGTATATAATATAGAATTAAGTATATATTGTCAGGAATTATAAGTAATACCTGACACATGTCAATGGTTGTCATTTATCTTTTTCTCAGTTTTTATTTTAACTCTCATCAAGGATATGGGACAGGGACAGGGAGGTAAGGTAGCTCTCTATAAAGATTCTGTGAATAATGAAGTTCATGTGGTAGCTCCTCAGATATGGGTGCAATTAGTTTCTGAACACAGCCTCACTGTCCTAAAGGTTTCTGGGAGAGTTTTTGGGGGCAAGTGTTCACAATTTCCATAGGTTTTAGAATAGAAACTGCTATCAGTGCAGTGGCTGTGAGTCCGCTTTCTAAATCAGTCCTTACAGAGAAACGTGCAGGTATATTAAGGGCTTGCCGTGTTGAATTGCCTGCTTTTTGTCTCATGGAAAGCCGGGAGTCTCTATTCTTTAGAGGAACCCCCCAGGGCCTGAGGGGGAAGAAGCATTCTTCTGGTGCCGAAGCAGCCAGGATCTGATAAAAAGGAGTTCACTCCTCCATCCCCCAAGTAGTCACAAGCAGAGTTCAGATCCAGCTCTGCCACTTCCTAAGGAAACTGGAAAACCTGAACAAGCTAATCATCCCCTCTGAGCTCTTTTTCCCGTCTGAAAAATGGGCTTGATATGACCTGTCTTGAAGGGTTGTTGTAAGAACCAGCGATCATATGTAATGTAAATATATGACACATGTAAACATATGACACAATATGCCTGGCACACTGCACACATTTAATAAACAATGACATTTGGTATCCAGATTGGAATGGTGTGTGATCATTCCTACAGCAGAAAGGAGAGCTTCTTCATGTGAGTACTAGGAGGTGTTTGACCAACGTCCGTCTTGATCTATACGGGCCTGGAAATGAGGAAACTCCAGCTCTGCCTCTGACTTGTGTGACTTTTCCCCGGTCACTTTTCCAGCCTGAGTCTCAGGATCTCATCTGCAAATGATGTGGCTGGACAAATGGCTCAGAGGCCATAAAGCTCAGAGGCTGTAACATGTATGGTTCTGGTGCCTAGAATTCTGTTCCTGGGCTTCCTGAGTCACAGTAATGTGGTCAAAAATATGTGTAGCACTTGAATCCATGACCCAGCAATTTCACGTTCGGGTCCTCACCCAGCAGGAAAGTGTCCACGAGCTCAACAGCGTGTGCAGCAGCATTCATTGCAGTGCTATTTGTAAAAAATGAAAGCCAGAAACCACTGAAATGTGAGGCAACATGAGAGTGCATACACAGATTGTGCTGTATTTACACAACAGAATTCCACACGGCACTGGGATGAACAAGCAATGCTGTACACTACCTAGTGGATGAATCACAGAAACGTAAGTGTGAAGGAAACAACATAGACATAAAAGAGCACAGCCTGGGCTGGGCACGGTGGCTCACGCCTGTAATCCCAGCACTTTGGGAGGCCGAGGAGGGCGGATCACAAGGTCAGGAGATCGAGACCATCCTGGCTAACACAGTGAAACCCCGTCTCTACTAAAAATACAAAAATTAGCCGGGCATGGTGGTGCTCACCTGTAGTCCCCGCTACTTGGGAGGCTGAGGCAGGAGAATCACTTGAACCCAGGAGGCAGAGGTTGCAGTGAGCCGAGATCGCCCCACTGCACTCCAGCCTGGACAACAGAGCGAGACTCCATCTAAAAAAGAAAAAAAAAAGTACAGCCTGTTTGATTCCATTTATGTAAAGTTCAAAACCAGACAAAACTAATCCATGACATTAGAGGTCAAGACAGGAGGTCTCATCGGGGTAGTTTCTGAAGGAGACAAGGGTGCTGGTAAGGTGCTGTTTATTGTTATGGGAATAGGCCACACACGTTTCCTTTGAAAACATAGAGATATACACTTAAAATTATGTGGTTATACATATATAAATATGTTATAATTTGATTTAAAGGTTTACGTAAAAAGTATACGTAGAACCACTTGTGGTTTCCTGGGTACCTGATTTTTATTTCCTTCCCTGTGCCAGACACTGTCCTGGGGGAGGGGTTGGCTGTGAATACAGACAAATAAGAAGGCAAAACATCTGCCCTCAAGGAGATCACCTGGACGGAAGGCTAATGAGTAAATAAAAATGACAAGTGATAAGGTGCTATGATAAAGTGCAGATCTGAGCAGATTATGGTGGGAACCCAGAGGAACAGAGGAGGTGACATTAGGTCTTAAAGATTGGGCAGGACAAAGAGAGCAAGAGTGCTCCACACAACCACGTGTGTAAATGCAGACTTGGGACGGGGCAGCAGGGGTTAAGAAAGGGCAAGAGTTGAGGGCAGGGAGATAGAACCTGGAGCTGAGGTCCGTAAACTCTGTCACGCAGGGCACCATGGGGAGCCGCTGAGGGGTCTTTGGGCAGCTGTGACCTTCCAAAAGAACCCCCATCACATCAACCTACTTACTTTTATCTCCCAGTCTTTTATAGAGAATCTGCCCTCTCCCAGCAAAGGCCAGCTCCTCCACCCCTCTGCTCAATCCCATCTCTCTAGCCATGCTCCCTTCTCTCCTGGACCTCTCCACTGCGTATAAACACGGGCAATTATTTCTCCTGTCCCCCACTCACCAAAAAAGCTTTCAACCTCATTTCCCCCTCCAGCTACCACTTCACTTCTCTCTCTTTATGGCAAAACTCCTAAAAACGTTATGAATTCTGGCACCTTCCAATTTCCATTCTCCCATTCTCTACTACACTCACTTCAACTGCGTTTTCACCCCGGAACACCATCAAAACAATGGCCTCTGCTTTGCAAAGGTCATTCTTTGCCTCTGGCTAACTGCATTTTGTCAGTTCTCCAGTGTCCACCTTGCTAGACCTATCAGCAGCCCTTGACCTGGTTAATGACATCGTCCTCCTCTAAGCGCTTATTTTTTTGGCTTTAGGTTACCAGGGCTCTCTGCTAGCTTTCCCCCAACCTTTCCTCCTGTTCTTTCCCAGTCTTTGCTGGTCCCTCCTCCTCTCTGGATCTCTTTATCTTGAAGTTACCCAAAGCTCAGTCTTTGGACATCTTCTCTATCTACCCCTGTTATCTCAGGGATCTCATTCTGTTTCATGCTTTTAAATTCCATCTATAAGCTGTTGACTCCCAAATGTATATATCTGACACATACACCCCCCCTGATTTTCAGATACGTACGTCCAACTGCTCGCCTGACATTTCCACTTGGATCTCTAAAGGCATCTCAGACTTCACGTGTTCAAAACGGAACTCATCGGCCGGGCATGGTGGCGCACGCCTGTAATCCCAGCGCTTTGGAAGGCCGAGGCGGGTAGATCACCTGAGGTCAGGAGTTTGAGACTAGCCTGGCCAACATGGTGAAACCCCATCTCTACTAAAAGTACAAAAAACCAGCCAGGTGTGGTGGTGCATGCCTGTAATCCCGGCTACTCGGGAGGCTGAGGCAGGAGAATCGCTTGAACCTGGGAGGTAGAGGTCTCAGTGAACCGAGATCACGCCACTGCACTCCAGCCTAGGTGACAGAGCAAGACTGCGTCTCAAAAAATAAACAAGCAAACAAAAAACTGAACTCATGAGCTGTCCCTAAAACTCATTCCTCCCAGTCTTTGTCATCTCAGGAACTGTAACTTCATCCTTCCAGTTCCTCAGGCCAAAGTGGTCACCCTTGACTCCTCTCATCTATTTCATTCAAACCGTCAACAAATCCTGTGACCTTTACCTTCAAGTTGTCAAAAATCTGACCACCTCTCCACCTCCAGGACCACCACCTCATCCAAATCACTATCAACTCTCACCTGGATTCCTGCAGTAGCCCTTCTAGTGGTCTGTTTGCTTCCACTTTTACCCCCTACTCCCAACGCAGCAGCCAGAGTGACCTCATTATGAGATGAGCCAGAGCAGGCTACTCTGTTCTCAGAACCTTCCAATCTATTTCCCATCTCACTCAGGTGTGACACTGGCTTCCAAGGCCCTCTGTGACCTGGCTCTCCTCACGTCTCTCACCTTGGCTTCCCATCTCCCCTTCTCCAAACATACCAACCTCCTGGCTCATCCTTAAGTGGAGACCATACGTGCTGTGACCTCGGGGCCTTTGCACTCTTCCTCCTTAAATCAGCAAGGCTCACTCTCTGAACTCCTTAAAGACTTTAATCAAATGTCCCTTCTCAGCGAGGCCCTCCTTCACCACCCTATTTAAAATCACAGCCACTCCCCCGACAGAACTCCCTAACCCGCTTTCTTGCTTTATGTTTCTCCAAAGCACCTCTCACCCTTCTGACATGCTTTCTGTTTTACTGCCTTATCTTGTTTACTGTCTGTCCTCCCTCCCTCCACAACAAGTTAAGTTCCATGTGGGCAGGAATCCTGACTGTCTGGGCCACTGCTACACCCTCAGGATCTAGAACAGAGTCTGGTGCATACAAAGGAATGGGAGAGGCACAATCAAACCCATCATTTGGAAAGGTCATCTTGTGACTAAGGAGTGGATACATCACTGGGAAAGATTGGTAGCAGCTAGAAGGCTGTTTCAATGCTATAGATGATATGCAATGAGATTTGAACTAGAAAGTGGGAGTGGGGATTAAGAGAAGAGAGTCAAGAAATATTCAGGAAGCCTTTTTTTTTTTTTTTTTTTTTTGAGAGGAAGTCTTGCTCTGTTGCCCAGGCTGGAGTGTGGTGGGGCAATCTCGGCTCACTGCAACCTCCACCTCCCGGGTTCAAGAGATTCTCCTGCCTCAGCCTCCTGAGTAGCTGGGATTACAGGCACCCACCACCAGCTAATTTTTGTATTTTTAGTAGAGACGGGGTTTCACCATGTCGGCCTGGCTAGTCTCGAACTCCTGACCTCAGGTAATCCACCCACCTCGGCCTCCCAAAGTGCCGGAATTACAGGCATGAGCCACCATGCCCGGCCGCAAATTTAAGTTATGAGTAACAGATTAAAGTGAGGGAGAGGGAAGCATCTAGCATTACTTCTGAATCTCTGGCTTAGAGGACAAAGGGAATGATAGAGCCACCATTAACTGGAATTAGGAAGAGAGAAGAGAAGAAGGATTAGCCCATGAGTGGGGATAAATGTGGGCTAATTCAATGCCTCTATCACCCAAATCACATGCACATGTGCACGCACATGCACACACACACACACACACACCCACATGCAAACACACACCCACACACGTCCATATAACGCACATTAAAATAAATGACCGGTCCCAAAATCTATGTCCCACCTGCCTAAGGCTCCAAACCAGCAGAGCCATTCCACAGACATCTGAATCCAAAATTCCCTCATTCAGTACTTGCTTATGCAAATTAGAGCTTCTTTTCAAAGTAACTGCCACACCCTCCAGATGGCCAGATTCCCTATTACTTCTTCATTAAAGTAACAGCCTATTCAAACTTGGCTCACTCAGCGTCCTTTTGCCAGGCCTTTGCATTCTGCATGAACAAAGGTTTATGATATTTCCTTCCAACCGTCTTTGAATTACTCACTAGCCTATTCAGCTTAGCAAACATTTGCTTCTGTTTGATATGGACTTTGGGCCACTAGACTGTACAGGGTTCAGCTTTGTTCATGACACACAATGAAATTTTCAATCACTCAGTCTCGTGATGCCTTGGGACTCCCAAATATCTAAGTCAGGGATTTGTGACCTTTGGTACTTATGGTTTTTAATGGGTGATGATAATGAATGCATATAATTGTGTTTATTCCTACAGGCTTTTCACAAAGTTATTGTAATTTATTTGGGGGCGATGGCTATTGGTCATGAATTAAATTAGATTTCTTAGTATGAAGGCAAGGTGGCCATATGTGGTCTTGATGGTGGTGGCATGCAAAAGGACCCATGTCACGGGGTGAGTGGGAAATGAAAACCAACCCAGGTCTGCTTGCCAAGCTGTGTTCCATGGGGCTATAACCTAGAGGAGATCTGTTTTTCAAATTCCCACAAAGGTGTGGTATGGGCTGCTGCTGACCGTGCCTCATGCTGCTGAGTGCTGGGATATAAGAGGGGGTGGAACAGGAGTGTCATGCGCAGCTTTCTAAAGGGCCAGTGATCACAAGCCTGGACATGGATAATGGACATTGACCATTATTCTTTGAAACAGCTTGGCTTCTTGTGCCATGTTCTTAAATACCTCACAAACAGAAAAATTCTGCATGATGAATGAATAAAAATAGAATAAGTGGCCATAGAGAGTGATTGTACTAAATTCTTCACCTTCTTTGGGAACCTTTCAACTGGGGCTTTTAGCCAAGGGTCACCTGGCTTTGCACCACACACTGAATTTCGTGGTGCACATAGTTGCTTAGAAAATAAATGGCACTTCCTTTGACTAGGACAAGGCCAACTGGCCAACCAAGAGCTCTTGTCTTCCAAAAAAAGGATCTAAGAAGATCATCATAACTGCCTGGCATTCTTGCTTCCATTCTCTCCTCCATGTGCTCTGAGACATTGCTGATCAATCTTAGTACTCTCTCCCTCTACACGTGGATTTGGCCTCAGGACTATTTTCAACCCAGTAGCCCAAGCGGTCGCTACCATCAGCTTTGGCAAACACATTTAACTCTAATTGACCTCCCTTGTCTGGTCCTTACCAAGTTTTTGGAGTCAAACATACCTACTCAGAAACAAAAAAGATATGCTAGCAGTGATACTATATCACAAAGATTAAGCTCGAAACACAGCCACCTACTTCAGTGTGGTAGACGTTTCCACTCCACACTCATCCCTTCCTTAAACTGTGTCCACATAGCACCTAATAGTTCATACAAGAATAGGCAATTCCCACTTTCTTACCAACTGATATTCCTGAAAACCACATAATAAGTGGCTTGCTTTTTCTTTTTTTTTTCTTTTTTTTTTTTTTTTTGAGACGTCTCCCTCTATTGCCCAGGCTGGAGTTCAGTGGCACAATCTCAGCTCACTGCAACCTCTGCCTCCTGGGTTCAAGGGATTCTCCTGCCTCAGCCTCCCAAGTAGCTGGGACTACAGGCGCGCACCACCACGCCTCACTAGTTTTTTTTTGTTTGTTTTTGTTTTTTGTTTTGCTTTGTTTTCTTTTTTTGTATTTTTAGTAGAGACGAGGTTTCACCATATTGGCCAGGGTAGTCTCAAACTCCTGACCTCGTGATCTGCCCACCTCATCCTCCCAAAGTGCTGGGATTACGTGTTGTATTTTCTTATAATAACAATAGGATAATTGGATGTTTTGTTTCTGATTAAGAAGTTGGGAGCAAATAAATCACAAAGGTGATCAGCAGTATGTCACACCAGCAAACTTACACACTGACAGCCCCTTAGGATTAATTAAAGCATGAAACATTAAAGTCCCTTCAATTGGCCTAATCCATATATACAGTGGCCTAAACTATATATGTGGATTAGTCAGGGTAGTGCTCACATGCCATATAAGAGTGCCCAACTCTTCTGAACCACCAGTTTAGCCCATCTAAAATGAATCCAGGAACTTCAGCAAATGGTCATTAACTATTTAATTTAAAAGAATTCGATGCGCCTTCTTAAGAATGAAGAAAGCTTTGGGGGATAATTTAGATGATCCAGGCTTCTTTGGAGAAGAAAAGAGGTTGCCAAGAAATATCTGAACTATGGCTTTCTCTTTGACTTAAAGAGACAAACATTGGCCAATGTTCCTTGAAGACTGCTCTGTGCCAGGCATTGTGCCGAGGGCTCCAACAAAGAAAACCATCCAAACTCGCTCCACGGACCTCAGAGCTGCATTTGGTGGGACCATGCTTTCCAAAACAGCTGCTGCATTGTTTAAATATTGGAGAAGCTCACTACAGAGTTTAACTGCATCTTGAATGTCACATTTGTTTATGTTTTTCTCTCTCTTTGATATATATTTTAATGTCTTTGCTAATTTTCCTTAATTTACTTTAGTCATTGGAAATATTCCTTCCAAGGGCCTGGAATCTAGAGGTGCTTCTGTCAGTGCTTCTCAGCCCCGATTGTACATTAGAATCACCTGGGGGTGCTTTAAAGCTCCTGATGCCAGGTGGCACTCCACACTAGTTAAATCGGTGCCTTGCGGGTGGGACCCAGACACTGGTAATTTTTAAAGCTCCCCAGGTACTTCCAATGTGCCAGGTTGAACACCATTGCCAGACTCTCTTCCTTAAGTAGAGGCAGGCAGGCGCCCCTCCTGGCTGCTCAGTAAACACTTGTCATGCCAGAAGCAAACCTCTCAGTGCTATTCTATTGAGTCAGCTCAGATCTCTAGGAAGAGCAGCCGTTTTTCCCAACTAAAAGTGATTCTAGTTCCCAGATCAGCTAATATGGAAATCAGGTAACAAAAGAAAAGCCTTCGTGGATGTTGCCTATTCTTGACTTCAAAAACCGCCACACTCCGTTTGGGCTCCATTTTCTCAGCACTTGATGAAATGAGAGACTGCCTGGAAAACAAGCACTTCACCCACATCGAGGTATCACTTTCAAGGTCTCAGAAAGAAAGTCTGGAATGAGTGTTAGTCCAAATTCCATTCCAGATTCCCTTATGTGTTCATTTCTAGGGCTGCCATAACAAAGTACCACAAACTTGGTGCCTGAAAATAATCGAAATCTATTCTGTTCTGAAATCTATTCACTTCTGGAGGCTGGAAGTCCAAAATCAAGGTGTCAGCAGGGCCATGCTGCCTCTGAAGTCTCTAGGGGAGAATCCTTTCCCTGGCTCTTCCCAGCTTCTGGTGGTGGCCATGGATCCTTGTCTCCCCTGGGCTTGTAGCTGCATCACTCCAATCCCTGCCTGTGTGTTATCACATGGCCTTTTCCCCTGTGTCTCTCTCTCCTTATAGGGACACCAAGCTTTTCATTTAGGGTCTATCTACCCTAATCCTATATCACCTCATCTTCACTTGATTGCATATGTAAAGGCCCTATTTCCAAGGAAGGTCACATTCACAGCTTCCAGGAGGATATTGATCTTGTGGGGTTATATTCAAACCGGTACACCTCATAAACCACCTGTAGGGATTCTTGATCTCCATCCCTAGGAGGCAGACAATGGAGACATTTGTACCAGTCTATCTGCAAATCTATTTAGATCCTTAATCCTTCTCTAGAATACCAGAAAGAAAGCCACCTGCCCACAGTCAAAAGAAAATGACGTAGCTAATTAGGTTGTCGTTTTTAATGTTTTTAAGACCAACAGAGATGAAAAAGACACTATCCTTGTGGGTTTTTTTCAGATTTGATTCCACATTTTTAACAGTAAGCCCATTTTATGCCTGTTTAGAAACAGCAAACATAGTATTTAAAGTGTAATCAGCCAGGCGGGGTGGCTCACACACTTTGAGAGGCCAAGGCAGGCAGATCCACTTGAGGCCAGGAGTTCGAGACTAGCCTGAACAACATGGTGAAACCTCATCTTTACTACAACTACAAAAATTAGCTGGATATGTTAGTGCGCACCTGTGGTCCCAGCTACTCCGAGGCTGAGGCAGGAGAATCACTTGAACCCGGGAGGCAGAGGTTGCAGTGAGCCGAGATTACACCACTGCACTCCAGCCTGGGAGACAGAGCAAGACTCCATCTCTAAATAAATAAATAAATAAATGTAATCAACTAATGTTTTTCTCCTAAAGAAGCTTGATAGATTATCACACACACACACACACACACACACACACACACAACTGAAAACTCCTTTTATTTTTCCAATTTAGCATTGTAACTTAACGTTGTAACTACTAATTTAGATGGTCCCAGGAAGCACAAAAAGGAGCCCAGGCTGATGGTCAAATTCTGTAGTAATTCCTATGAGATGATCATTTAACACCAGTCACTCTTACTTCTTCACAACTTTCTTGTACAAAATCCAAGATAGGTTTTAGGCAGAGCTATTGCTTGTGTTACTCTTCAGACCCAGGCCCTAGGTGTATTTGCAAAATTAAACCATGTTAGGCTTTGAGGAACAAGAAGAGGCATTTTTTAAAACTTCCCCAGTCCCTGGGGTCCCTGGGCTGACCTAGAGGTCTGGGTTGGGAAATTAACTATTCCCATTTCCATTTCTTCCCGTCATTTAAGCTGTTTCCTTGGAATGTCACAGCCCATCTGTGCTTCCTTCTGTGAAATGAGGCCTGTGACCATTGGCTGTGTACCATTAGGGGAGCTAGAGGAGCAGCCAGGAGATGTGAACTCATTCTCGCCCTCAAGTCACATTGACTCTGCACCTAGAAAGGCAGCAGGCAGTAGTAGCAGATCAGGGGTGGAAGGCAACAAAGAGCTGAAAACAAAGCTGTCCCTCTGGAGTTGTACTGCCTAGGTTCAAATCTTAGATTCATTCTGGAGAGACAAGATAGAAACTTCTCTAAGCCTGTTTGCTCATCTGTAAAATGAGGTTAACAGTGCCTGCTGCTTGGAGTTACGCAGAAGTACTGCGATAGTGAAGGTAGCAAGTGCCTGGCACATAGCAGGCATTCAGTAAGGCTAGGCCTCATTAACAGGAGTTCCCGCTCTGCTGAACGTTCATGGCTGCCTGGATCAGAGTCTTAAGAAGCCATGTTCAGGCTTAATGGGAAGGAATGTCCTGATAGATTACTGATGTCTGCCCTGGGTGGTTTTACTGGAGTCACGTATTTGCCAATTCTGCAGGCACCATATTGAACTCATATTTTTCTTCCCAAGACCCCTTCCAAGCCCCTTGTATGGTAGACACACCTTTGTATGGTAGACATGCCTGATAGCAATAACTTCTTAAGCATACACAGAGAATGGCTCTGTATGGCAGATACACTTGAATATGTGTTCAGAGTTCTGAGTGTGGCCAACCCAGAGAGTCATTCCTTACCTATGAGGAACATCTGAGCCCCCAGCCATCCAATCGAAGGTGGACCATACAGGGGACTGAAGCTCTTTGTTTTGGGTTAAATGGAGGTTGCCAGGTGGAGGTCATTAAGGGGAGCATATGAGGTAAAAATGTTGTGTTAACTGCACGCTTTCTGGAGGCTGTGGCAGTTCTGTTCAGCCTGCCGCCACTGCACCATCCTTGTGTGTAATTCCCCCTAATAAAACCATGTGTCTCATTCGCTGGTTCTGGGTCTCTTTTTTGGCTTGTCAAGCCTGGTGCTGTCCCTGTTGACATTAACAGGGGTCCAGTATAACAGTATCCCCTTTTGTAAATCCTTGCTCTGAAACTCACCACACCGATGTGTCACGCTGAAGTGAAAACCTAGTTGGTCCAAAGCTGAACAACTAGAGGCAGGATGCTAGAGAGGAGAGAGCCACAGCTAGTCCCAGCTTCTCCGACAACTCAGCCACGACCCCGAGCAGAAGCCAGCCCCTCTCTGACCCTCAGATCCCTTATCCATAAAACAGCAATGATCACCTCAACTATGGGTGTTGTGAAGCTCAAATGGTGTAAGACATCAGAACATGCTATATAAAAAGTTGTTTTGCAGGAGTAGGGAAGCAAAGAATGAAATTGTACCAACCCATCAAAAGTTTAACCAAATATCAAAATATATATAGTCAGTTATACTCAATTTGTCAGTATCTTCCCCAAATTTCAGCCAAACTTCCTTGGTACTTCTGTTTCCCCTTTCTGTCTAAGATGCCTCTATTCCCATCCTGGGATGAGTATTCAACTGGAAATGAGCCTCTGCTTTACCTTTTATAACCAGTTCTTAGCCAGAGGCTTGTGGAAACTTCCAGGGTGTCACCACCTTATTTAACTAGAAGTAAGACTTTAGCCATGCTGCTCATTGAAAGCTAAATGCTGTTGAGATAAGTATGTGGCTCCAGACCCAACCTCCTAGCCTAGGCCTCTAGACAAGTGTGAACCAAAGCCAAGAGTTCCAAGCACTGCCCCTCCCGCCACACCATTTTCAATTGCTGTGACCACAGCTGTGTGATTTGGGGTAAGTCTCTTCCGCTCTTTAGGCTCCAGATCCTCCATTAGCCTGGAGTCTGTACCTGGAATAGGGAGAAGCAGCCCAAGAGAGTCCGAGCCTCAGAGGCTTGCTGTGTCATGCACAACGGGGGAGCCCACTGAGCCAGGAGGAGCCGCAGAGAGGAGGACGTGGCTAAGGTGGAAGATTCCAGAGGGACCCTCGAGCCTGCAGTGCCTTCAAGGACCACACGCCAGGGCCTGCTCAAAATCTTTAGCCACACTCAGCATCAATGTCTTAGGAGACACAAGCCCAAAATAAATAGGAAATATCCCTTAAATACAAATTCTTCACAGTCTAAGATGATGGCTTTATGTAGCTGGGTTTAATTTGGGCTGTTTATTTCAGATCTGTGGTAAGAGTGAGCTCCACAGGCAGGAGGGCAACTAGGTCCCAGGACAAGCAGATCAGAAGCACATATGGGCCCTGGGAGGAAAAGCCATTTCACCCTTTGAGACAGCCTGGAGGTTATTTCTGTTCTGCCTACCACACAAGTTATCCAAGGTAAAATTAGGGAAGAACTTTGTGAAAAACATGCAAATTATTAAATGTTTTCTTTTTAAACGTTTTCTCTTACTTTTTTAATAGAGACAGAGTCTCATTACGTTAGCCAGGCTGGTCTTGAACTCCTGGCCTTAAGCAATCCTCCTGCCTGAGTTCCCAAAGTGCTGGGATTACAGGCGTGAGCCACTGCACCGGGCGGTGGCTTGGGAAAGAATTTGAGAAACCGAAAAAATGAAGGTGTGATAGCTCCTTCCCATTGTTAGGATGGTGGGGGAGCTCCTCAGGAGCCCAAGAGGAAAGTCTGGTGTTTACAGATCAGAATCTTAGTACAGACAGTAGGCTCACCTAATGCGATAGAAGGTAAAGAAAGTACTATGCCTAGACCACCCCAGGCAGATTGAATGAATCACATTTCCTGAGTCTGCGGCTTGGAGAAGAGGTGTTGTTGTTGTTGGTGGTGTTGTTTTGAGCTCCTAGGAGATTCTGAGTTTCTGCAAGATTGAGAACCACTCTTGGAGAATCTTATCCAGAGCTGGAGGCTGGCACTCAGGCTTTTCTGCAGGAATCTGAGAGAGGTAACTTGGGAAAGAACGGCTGGGAGTGAAGGAAGGAGGAGGAAGGGTAGCTTGGTGAGAAGAAAGAGACAACCAGAATCTGAAAGGCCTGCAATGCTGAGTGCCAAATCTGACCCTAGGGAAAGGTAAATCAATGCTTTGTGTCTGTGCTAGGCAAACTCAGTCTGCCAGTTCTCATGCAGACAGCGCGCTTGGAACTGTGACAAATGATACATTATGCAACCATGACATCATACCAACCTGGTGAGGCAGGTATGGATGCCCCATGTACCAGAGGAAGAGAGGGAGATCTAGCGAGGTGACATGATTTGCCTAAAGTCATCCGGGTACTTGCTGCATGAGCTGAGATTCCAGAGCAGGTCCCCTGCCTCCAGGACTAGACAGGAGCACTGGTGAGGAGGAGGCTCAGTCTGGATTTTCTTGGAATGTTGACATAGAACTGAACTGGACACGTTGTTATTAAGAATAAAAAGGACGAGACCAGGCAGATTAATAAGCGCATATGACCAGGACAGTGGAGACTTCCATGAATTATCTGAGCACTTAGTAAAGCCTGAGGAAGTAAAATAAAATCAGGATCTCCAGGCCCCAAAGCTTCCTCCATCCCTTCGTGGGAGGTGAGCATGAACTTGTGCTGTTCTTACATCAGCCCTGGAGTACAAAGGCTGGAGCCACCCAGGGAGGTACTTAGGGCAGGCAGCACACCTCAGAACAAGATGGTCCAGCACCAAAGCCTTGCTGCTGAGACTTTCAATTCCCAGCAGACCGCAGGTCTAAGAAGTACAGCCAGAAAAAGAAGGGAAAGAGGCATCGCATGTTGTGGTTAGCAGGGCTGGGCACACGCACCCCACAAGTCAGCTCTGGTGCCCAGGTGCCCTCCACGCCCCATGTCACCATGTCCAGATTCACACCAGAAGGGCCCACCAGCCCACTCCTCCCCTGTGTCTTCTCCGCCCGTCTCATGCACTTTCTGAGTTGGTGTCCTACTTTCCATTTTTTAACTTTATTTATTTTTTATTATGGAATATTCCAAGAATGCAGAGTCTAGGGAATTACATGTACCCACCACCAGACTTTGTCAAGTCTTAACATTCTTTTCCATATTCGCTTCACATATTTTTTTTAAGACACAAACCTCACAGATACCATTGAACTCTCCATGGACCACTCCCTCGTTTCATTTCCCTCCCTCTATGCCCAGAGGCAACCGCTCTCGGGAATTCCACGTTGATTATTCTCATACATGACTTTTTACTTTTACCACATATGTGGATATCCATAAATAATCAATGGTATTCGAGCACATGTTTAACTTAATAGAATCATTGTAAATAATATTAACATAGTATAAGCTAATATAATATTAATAAATTATAAACTAATATAATATTAATAAATTATAATATCTTGTATAATAATAAATAGATAACATGAAATATAATAGCAAATAAATATAATATTAATATTAATGGAATCAAACTGTTATTTGCTGTTTTTTTGCTCAATACTTTTGACGTGGGATTCCTCCATGCTAATGGGAGTTCATTTATTTTGGTGTTGTTTCCAATTTTTCACTGTTACAAAGAAATGCCATAATGAATATTCATGCACATGTATGGGTCTGCCCAGGTTACATATCTGGGAGTGGAATTTCTGGGTTGTGGGGAATGCATAGCCTCAGCCTTATGACCCATTTTCTTTTCAGCCACTTTGCCTATTCTTTGCTATCACAGGGATTTCCCCAGATCTAGGATGGAATCAGAAAATGCTACCCACTTCAGAGGTTTTACCCTGGGCATGTTAAAAACCAATTTTTTTAAGAGGAAAGAAAAACAATGTAACCTGTTGAAATGGGAGTTGATAATCGCAGGCACTCAACGCATGCACGAGAGCCCACACTGAGTTGGGCTCTGTGTCTGCTTGTGAGCACGAGCCAGGGATCCTGGCCCAGATCTGCTCAAGGAGCCAAGGAAATCAAACTGCTGAGCCTGAAGCCTAGACCTAACCCCCGAGTGACCCGCCAGCTTCGTTTTGGGGCCCAACCTAAAATAGGCAACTGCCCTATCTTTTTTTCCCCTTTTTAAAATATTTAATGTCATTTTCCCTGATTATCAAAGTAATATGTTCTCCTTATACAAATTTTAGGGCTAGGCACAGTGGCTCACACCTGTAATCCCAGCGCTTTGGGAGGCTGAGGCAAGCTGATTGCTTGAGGTCAGGAGTTCGAGACCAGCCTGACCAACATGGTGAAACCCCATCTCTACTAAAAATACAAAAATTAGCCAGGCATGGTGGCGAGCGCCTGTAATCCCAGCTACTCTGGAGGCTGAGGCAGGATAATTGCTTGAACCCAGGAGGCAGAGGTTGCAGTGAGCCAAGATCGCACCACTGCACTCCAGCCTGGGCAACAGAGTGAGACTCTGTCTCAAAAAAAAAAACAAAAACAAAATTTAGAAAGTTCATACAAATATTTTTTAAATTATGTTAATCACCTTAAGTAGCACTACTCAGAGACATCCACTATGAACATTTTAGCCTATTTCTTGCCAGTCTTTTTTCTTAGTGTTTTTTCCTTAAATATGTAATCTACTGTATCCTGATATTTTACCCTAATATATATATTTTTTTCCATACTACTAAAAACACTATAAACATAATTTTAATAAATTGGGATCACTTTCACTTCATTTTCTATTATCTACTTATTCCTATATATTGGACATTCAGGTCATTCCTAATTTTTATTTTATTTATTTATTTATTTTTGAGACAGGGTCTCTCTCTGTCACCCAGGCTGGAGTGCAGTGGCACGATCTCCTCTCACTGCAGCCTCGACCTCCCTGGGCTCAGATGATCCTCCCACCTCAGCCTCCCAAGTAGCTGGGACTACAGGTGCACACCACCACACCTGGCTGATTTTTGTATTTCTTGTAAACATGGAGTTTCGCCATGTTGCCCAGGCTGGCCTAATTTTTATTTTTACAGTTAAACTGTAGCAGATATATTTGGGCATAAATCTCTGATGGCCTTTCAGTTCCCTAAGAGAGGATCCTCAAAGTGTAATTATTAGAAGGGCAAAAGACATTTTTAAAGCTTTTGATACTATTACTAAACATGGTTTCTAGAAAGAGGACCATGTTACAGGCCCACCAACAAAGTGTACAGAATATGCCTAGCCTGTCTCCCTCTACCTGTCAGCCAAACATGATGTCTCTACACTGGGGCTCAGATGTGGGAAGGGAACCTTTAAATAGCCAGCGTGCCCAGCCACAGAATGTCACGTTTGGTGGAGAAGAATGTCTGGCATCCTCCCAAGCTGTGTGTATTAAGTTGCTTCCTTCCATGAGAACTAAGAAGACAGCAAAATGGATGAATCATACCGTGGGAAAGTCAGACTCTAAATCCAGGTCCCTTATAGTAAAGACAGTTGAAATAGGCCACTGGGCTGGGCGCCGTGGCTCATGCCTATAATCCTAGCACTTTGGGAGGCTGAGGCGGGTGGATTGTCTGAGCCCAGGAGTTTGAGACCAGCCTGGGCAACAAGGTGAAACCCCGTCTCTATTAAAATACAAAGAAAATTGGCCGAGCATGGCAGCATGCATCTGTAGTCCCAGCTACTTGGGAGGCTGAGGCAGGAGAATTGCTAGAACCCATCTCAAAAACAAAAAAGACACAAAACCTAAAGAGCTGTTGGTCGTGTTTTCTACAGCCCAGAGAAAGCCATTCTGCCATGAGGTTTAAGAGTACAAGAGGCAGACAGAAAAACATATGGAAAATGGAGAATCCAGATGTATTTCATGGCCTCGTTCTAGTTGTTCTGGGCACCTAATTCCCTCCGCACCTTTGTGGAGTTTGGACAATCTGTGAGTGCTTCTCCAAATGTGGTCTGTGGACCAGTTCCCTTTCCCAAATGATGAGTTACTAGTTCATAGTGAGGTCAGTTCAGAAACTGAGTGCTTAGTCACTTTTAGAACAATTGCTGGGATATCAAGTGAAATTTTGTCTTTCAAGTAATTCGTATTTGATTTACCAAAGTCTTGATCTACAATGGATTTGAATAATAACATTAACACTAAAAACTTGGTCCTTCAGCACAGAGAGTTTGAGAAACACTTCTGTGAGACACTCCTGCAGGACTACTGCATATGGTGTTATAGGCAGTGTACGGTGCAACTTTAGGAGGTGCAATTCTACATAGATGAAAAAGTGAGCACTTCTCCCACCACCTGAATTGTGCAGTGCACAACCTGCCCAACAGGAGACAGCCCTTTGGCCCCAGTATCCTTCCGGCAAATTTCTTTTTGTTTTGCTTAAATCAGCCAGAGTGTTATTTTTCTGTCGTTGTTGCTTTCAAACTAAGGCAATTTAGATAATACATCTTCTACTGTCCCAGTGGCCTAAGGAGTCTTGCTCTGTCACCCAGGCTGGAGTGCGGTGGTGCAATCTCGGCTCACTGCAACCTCCGCCTCCCATGTTCAAATGATTCTTCTGCCTCAGCCTCCTGAGTAGCTGGAATTACAGGCGCACACCACCACACGTGGCTAAATTTTGTATTTTTAGCACAGACGGGGTTTCACCATGTTGGCCAGGCTGGTCTTGAACTCCTGACCTCATGTGATCTGCCTGCCTTGGCCTCCCAAAGTGCTGGGATTACAGGCGTGAGCACTGCGTTCGGCCTAGGTTTTGTGTCTCGCAGCCTCAACCACCAGAAAAAGAATTATTGGTCCCAAATTCAAAATTTCCAGGGAAGGGACTTAGTGGCTGGGAGGTGGGTCACTTTGGCCAAGGGATGGCACACAGAAGAAAACACCAGTTCCCTTGGAGACCACAGGAATGAGCTGGGAGCAGTTCTTGGAAGAAGAGACGGTGCTATCGGAAAAAGTGGATGTGCCAGGCGGACTGGGCGGACTAAACAATAGGTTTCCAATTATTGGGTCTACACTTTCCTATATCTAGATTCCACTGAATACTTATTCTGAAATATATTCTTCCAAAAACAGGGTTTGTGGTTAAATAAATGTAGGGGAAACTATAGATTTTATCACTCATAGAGAATCATGAGACATATTAGCATATGAAAGGCTCTGACAATTTCTTTTAAAAAGAAACATCTTCAAGAATATTTGACCCAGTGTTTCCCAAGTTCATTTGATCACTGAAACCTTTTTTAATGCCATGCCCGTAACATTCCATGGGATTAGTGTTCTAAAAACATATTTTGGGAAAGCCATTCTAAGTGATAGATGTTCTTCAGAAAGACGTGAGTCAAATTCTTGAAAATAAGATAGCAGCCTGGGCACGGTGGCTTGCACCTGTGATCCCACCACTTTGGGAGGCCGAAGCGGATGGATCACCTGAGGTCAGGAGTTCGAGACCAGGCTGGCCAACATGGCGAAACCCCGTCCCTACTAAAAATACAAAAAAAAAACCACACAAAAAATTAGTTGGGCGTGGTGGCAGGCGCCTGTAATCTCAGTTGCTTGGGAGGCTGAGATAGGAGAATCACTTGAACCCAGGAGGCAGAGGTTGCAGTGAGCCGAGATCATGCCATTGCACTCCAGCCTGGGTGACAGAGCAAGACTCTGTCTCAAAAAAAAAAAAAAAAAGAAAGAAAGAAAAGAAAAAAAAAAGGCCTTTACACAAACCAGAGAGCTGGGTATTTATAGAAACTGTTAAATTATTTTCAAAGAGTTGTTTCATAACGTAATTTAAACGCCATCAGTGCTACCAGTTTCTAGGCTCAAGAGTTTTACGTGCTCAGAGTTACGTGTCTTATTAACATGGGCTACATCTCTGCAGCCCCAGACCTTCCCTATCTGGAGCATTCCTCTCCCGGGCACCCTCACATGTTGTTCAGAAGCCTTTTCAACTGTTTTCTAATACCCTGTCCCCTTTGGGGTAAAGCACATCTTTATGCCATTATGGGGCTGGCCACTGCAGTTTGCAAAATCAACTTAGCACAGGGACATCTGTTCTACTCTGTGTGCTGGTGTCATAAAAGGTCCCACTGGGCTGAGCAATGCACCTGAGAGCAGTGTTAACAGCACCTCACATCTGGGGTGGCCTGGAGGCTGGGCCAGCATGAATTAGTGTAATGAAGGTCTTCTCCTCTCTCACACGAGGTTGGAATCTCACACCAGATCAACTACCTGGATTAGAGATACAACCAAAGAGCACAGTAAACTGCATGGACATTTAGGACCAGAGCACTAATATAGGTTGGCTATTAAATCTGGAAACAGGTGAATATATAATAAATGGTTTGTTGGTATTACCTTATGATGCATGATAATATAATATCTACATGTCCAGACTTCATGGCCACTCTGTAGCAGAAGCTATTATTTATATCAAGCAGTTATTAAGTGTCAGGAGGTCCTCTTCTAAATGCTTCACCTGAATTAGCTAATTTAATTCTCACGATGCCATGAGGAGGGTACTGTCATCATTTCCACAGTAATAGGTCAGGAAACCAAGGCACAAAGGGCTTCAGCATCTGGCCCAAGGTCCGCTGTTGGTAAGTGGTGGGGCTGAGCTCGGGGAGCCCCACTCTGGAACCGGTACTCTTACACATACACTACGGCCGCCTCTCCAGGTGTCATGAAAGTCTCCTAGGCTTTGCTGAATAGCAGTCAAAAAAAACTGGGATTTAGCCTTCTCTATCTTGCTATTTTTGTTTCCATGGGTGGCATAGGAAAAATCATTGTAATTAACATCTGTACCACTCTTTGTAGTTTGGTCCTCATCACGACCCATTACAGCAAACCAGGCAAGGCCTATATTTCCATTTCCAGATGAGGAAGCTGAGCCTTTAACAGGATCCCTACCTAACAAATGGCAGAGCCATGTCCTCTGACGTCAGGAGCTTCATGATTTTAACTTACTGCTTGTGTTGGGTTCTGTGGTAGCCAATATACAAGGTGGTCCCGAGTGATCTTTGCCTCTTGTGTTATTTCCTCCCACGCTGAACAGGACTCACTTGTATAACCACTGTGACATTGTGGAAATGATGATGTGTGACTTCTGAGGTGAGGTCATAAAAGGCATTGCAGTTTCTACCTTGATCTCTCCTGGATCATTCACTCAGGAGGAAGTTGGCTGCCATGTTGTGAGGATGCACAAGCAGCCCCATACAGAGTCCCTCCTGGTGAGGATCCAAAGCCACCTGCCAACAGCCCGTGAAGAACTAAAGCCTTCTGCCCACAACCAATGCAACCAGTGCTAATTTGTCAGCCTTGTGAGTGGGGCCCCTTGGAAACAGATCCTCCAGCCCCATGCAGATGACTGCAGCCCAAGCTGACATCTTGACTGCAAATTCATGAGAGACCCCAAGTCAAATTCACCCAGTTAAATCACTCCTGCATCCCTGACTCACAGGAATTGTGAGATAATAAATGTGTATTATTGTTGTAAGCCACTTAAAATGATTTTTAAAAGCCGAGCTTGGTGGCACGTGCTTGTCCTCACAGCCACTCAGGAGGCTTGAGTCCAGGAGTTCAAGGCCAACCTGGGCAACATAGTTAAAAACAAAACAAGGCTGGGCACGGTGGCTCACACCTGTAATCTCAGCACTTTGGGAGGCCGAGACGGGCGGATCACCTGAGGTCAGGAGTTCGAGACCAGCCTGGCCAACATAGTGAAACCCCATCTGTACAAAAATACAAAAATTAGCCAGGCATGAGGGCAGGTGCCTGTAATCCCAGCTACTCAGGAGGCTGAGGTGGGAGAATTGCTTGAACCCGGGAGGTGGAGGTTTCAGTGAGCTGAGATTGCACCATTGCACTCCAGCCTGGGCAACTGAGTGAGACTTGGTCTCAAAAAAAAAAAAAAAAGAAAAAGAAAAAAAAAGCAGTTTTTTAACTATTTTTTTTTTAATGTGGGAGAAGTGTTTTATGTAGCTGTGGATAACTAATACAAGTTCTCACTCCAAAGTCCTAATCCTGATGAAGGTTTAACTGGCTGTGGTCTTAAGAAAGTCTCGGAAGCACTCTCTGCGATTCAGTTTCCTCTCCCGCTAAATAATAATCTAAGCTGATTTCTGAGTCACCCTTAAAGTGAATAATGAACCATGGCAGCTGGGTTCAGGGAACACTCTCTGTAAAGCTGAACTCCTGGCACACATAGGCTGGTTCTTGGCAAACCGGCACCATGTACCTGTCAGGATTTAAGGAACATTTCATTTGTGCATCCAATCTACCAACACGTAAAGACCTAATTTAGGTAACAATAGACCACGATCGTCACTGAGTATCACTTAAGTTCCCTGCTCTGTGCCAAGATACCCCCAAAGTAGGGGGGCCTCTGCTCACACCGTTAGGTTCACCAGAAATGCCTTCCCTTACCCCACAGCTACCACAACTATCCCTTGCCCAAAGCCCATCTCACCTGCCTCTGAAGCTTCCTCAGGCAGCTCCAGCTAACACTGCCCTCAGGACCACCCACAGCAGGAGAAGCCGCAGGTGTGTCAGCAGACGTGTGCTGGTCAATGTTTAACAATCAGCTCTCTGCAGAGAAAAGGCCTCTCTTGACTTCTGTGGTGTTAATACTTCTACCGTAGCTGGTTTAAAGCTACCAGCATTGCATCCCTGAAAGCAGAATTGGAAAAAGATATGCACGATCAGTCTCCCAAGCCAATACCAGCTGCTCCGGCACAGCCCTGTGTTTCTGACTCCTTCTTTCTCACTGTCCTCGTGATTACTTTGAAATATCCCTGGAACCTGCCCTTTCTGCATTCCCAGCATCTCTCCCTCAGCCCAGGCCTTCATCCCACCTGGACTATTGCAAGAGCCTCTTTCACCTTCTGTCTGCCTTCAGATCCTCCTCACCCCCATCCTTCCTCCACACCACACAGCAGGAAGTTCCTATACCATCGCCTCAGGGCACCAGGCCCTCTGTCCTCAAAATCCTTCAAACCCACGGTTTTCAACGGGAAGGTCAAAGTTGTTGGATATACAAGCTCTTAATGACAGACCCTTGCCTATATCTCATCTTCACACACACACACACACACACACACACACACACACACCACACACACACAAACACACACACAGACACACACACAAACACACACACACAAACACACACACAGACACACACACAAACACACACCACACACAAACACACACACACACACACACACAAACACACACCACACACAAACACACACACGTGCGCGCACACACACACACACACAAACACACACACCACACACACACACAAACACACACACACAAACACACACACACACACACACACACGTGCGCGCGCACTTGACCCCAGGGGACTCATGTGATTCCTGTAGCCTAAATGCCTTCCGCAGTCACAAATCCCACTCCTCCCTCTGGGCTCATGGGCATTATCCTCTTCCCTGCTAAGCATTCCTCCCCACTCCCACCACTGCCCATCTCCACATTCCACTGGCGTTTTGCTGAGAGCTCACTCACCATGGGGAAGCACCGCCAGCTCTGCGCAGCTCTGACCTTCTCTCCTCTCCCTGAGCCACAGGCTCCTTGAGGACAGGACTGTATGGCGGGTCTCCCATTCTTCAGTGTCCTGGCAATGGGAGAGCCTTTTCGGATTTGGAGAGGGGAAAGGTAGTGAGGAGGTCAGTGGGGTGAGGCCGTGGGAATGGGGCAGGACCGGAGACTTCTCCCACCCTGAAGCCTAGGACAAGGCTCCTGGCAGAGAGGAGTACAGGTTGTGGAGGTGGGGGTGTGGAAAGAGGAGAGTGGGCAATGGAGCCTTCCAGAACCCTCTGGAGTGGCTGAAGCTCCAGGGACCACCGTGAATGCCCCACCTGTTTTCTCTGTCCCTCTCCCAGGACTGAATGTGCCACCCTCAGTAGTTTGGTTCTACGTCTTTTACATTGCTTTAAATTGGATAATTGTGGGCTCAACACAACCCCGTGGTCACATGTTAAAGGCTCCGGGCCAGGATCTGACCCCGAGGAACATTCGAACTGAAGCCACTGATCACATGGACAGTGTCTTAGATTTCAGGTGGCTTCCTTAAAATAACCGCAAGAAAACGCCCTTGGCGTGTCAGCTCTGCTCCAATCATTAGGAGAACTGGGCAAGCCTCTTTCTTCTAGCTGGGTTTTCCATCTGAAAAAGACAGTTTGTAACCAGATGATCACCTGTATCTTTGACACTTTGACTCTAAGCCAATCCCCCCTCTCTGTGCCTTCATTTCCTCATCTATGAAATGGAGGTTATAACATCTACCCACCTCAAAGGGCTGTTTAAGGTCAAATGAGATCATGGACATAAAAATGTCATTGTAAGCTGTTACTATGAAATATGGGTTATTATTTGTGAAGTTCAATTATTGTGTTATAAGTATTTTATAAACATTCCTGGGTGATTTAAGTAGATTTTAACGTGATTGTAGGCATCATGGTGAATGCTCATTTAGGAGAAAAGCAAGAATACATTAAAGGCAGGTCCTCCTAAACAGGGACCCTTCCCATGGCTGAGCAAACTCAGAAACCAGACATCTGCGGGGGAAGCTGTGGACAAGCATGGCAGGCCCGGCCTGAATCAATAGTTTACATGATTATGTTTAATTCCCCAAGATCGACACAAAGGATTGGACATTTAAATCCAGGCAAGCCTGTTTATTCTAAGGCTTGTCCTGAATGTTCAGTCAGCCTTTCAGCAGATATGCTGCAGAGAATTAAAGTTACTCACAGCTGTTTGCATTTCCCAGGTAGAGCATAACTAGGCCACTATAATACTTCAAAGCCTCTTCTTTCCACCTTTGCTATTATTATTATTATTCAGTTCTACAAAAATAAGGTCAAGATCCAGAAGTAAGCCGCCAGATCTGACTTTGATCTTTAAGATCATGGCCACACTCTGCCCAGCAGCCTTCATCCTCATGTCTCCAAGCACAATAAAAGTCTAATTAGGAAATCTTTATAGCGTCCTGGAGAATTGGTATGCCTGGAGTGACTGAAGCCACAGGCAGCATGAGGAGTCCAACTCATGCCATGGGCTTTGCCTGAAAATGATTGCCGACCTTCTCCAAGCTGCCAGCCAAGGAATGGCATCCCCTGTAACTTCGCGTCAAAGGTAAGCAGTGACATAGAGATAGACCAATCGGCAGAGGCACTTTTGCAGGTGATATAAGAAGTGCAGTTTCTATTTGTCATTCTATTTGATGTTTAGAATCACAAGTTACATCCTGAGCAACTCGCTTTTTCATCAGTGTACAATGACTTGATCTATACAGGTGAACAGAAACAGATGGCCTATCCACAGGTTACCATCTGTGTTACAATAACATCAAAACCCTGATGACTGAGATAATGAGCAAGAAAGAACAACTTACTTCTTTTCACCTTCCCAAATGCAAGAGTTAGCCTAGGCTTCCTGTCCACTGACCACAGGTCAGGAATATCCTCTTTATATCTAAAAGGGAGACTGCTGGAAAATAGGCATGAAAACAAAGCCCCCGGTGCTTCTGTGAAGGGATTAAATAGTATTATTAACAATAATACAGGCCTGGCGTGGTGGCTCACACCTGTAATCCCAGCACTTTGGGAGGCTGAGGTGGGTGGATCATGAGGTCAGGAGTTCAAGACCAGCCTGGCCAAGATGGTGAAAGCCCCGTCTCTACCAAAAATACAAAAATTAGCCGAGCGCAGTGGCAGGAGCCTGTAATCCCAGCTACTTGGGAGGCTGAGGCAAGAGAATTGCTTGAACTCAGGGGGCAGAGGTTGCAGTGAGCCGAGATGGCACCACTGAACTCCAGCCTGGGTGACAGAGTGAGACTCCGTCTCAAAAAAATATATAAAAATGAAAATAATAATATGTTATTATTATTATTACTGTAAAGTCCTTGATATTTGTAAATTAATTTGTACATTAAAAAAGTCCTTTTCTAATGATTGATAGAAAATCTGCTACTATAGACACACTAATTGGTAAAACATTGAATTACTTCTATATCTATTAAACAACCACCCACCCAAGCCTCACCACAGTACTCCTTCTTGTGTCCCCAGCTACCAAGGGTCTCCTCTGGCAGCGCCCCCTACACACACCTGTCCAAGATCCACAGTCAAAGAGTTAACAGCTGGCTAAGCAGAGGCCCCAGGACCTACTGGCCAGTGTTGTCCCCAGTGTCCACTCAGATTGGTGGGTGTCCATGCCACTCCATGCCACACTGGTCATTCAAGGTTTTACTGCCTCCTCTCCCTGTCTGCACTGAGAGGCTGAGGTCAGAACACCCCGCAAAGTTCCTCTGCACCCCGCACTCTGCTCTCCAGCTCTGCAGTGGCCTCAGTGTGCAAACACAAGTCAGACGGCCCCAGAACAGCCACGGGGCAAACGCCGAGTGCCCTTCTTTAGTTGTGAGGGAGGAGTGGGGAACCTCCTCAGTGACTAGCACTTAGGTGTGACCTCCTTCCCCTTGGCTGAGCCCCAAAGCCCCATGTTGGGTGCCTCTTAAAAACCAGAAATAATAACACCTAACAGCCATATGGGCAAGCCTTTAACCTGCCGTCTGCATCAAGTTTCCCTCTGTTCAATCCAATGGAGAGGGATAATGACCTATCTTAGGCTTAATTAACATCTGGGCCCTGCTGCTGGGAGATTCCCAAACCCAAGTCTCCCTGTAATTGCAAACCTTTATTTCTTTGGGCACTTTGATGACAGCCACATAATGGGAGCTGTGGCCCCAACCCCACCCACTGCCTCATACTTGCCGACTGCCAACCTCCCTCTCCACCTCCGCTGCCTCTCGCTGTTCGTCTCCGGTCTACCCGCCCTCCCCGGGACCGCTTACCCATAATCCCCTCTGCCTTGTGCCATTCTACAACACTTGGAATCAGGAGACCAGGACTCCAGCCCCAGTTCTGCCTGTTACTTACTCTACCGCCACGGGAAACTCGCAGCTTTGGCCCAGCACTTTGTTTGCATACGGCAGGTTCTAAACACTTAGTGGTCGCTTTCTTTTCCACTCCATTTCACCCCTTAATCCCCAGATCGCTCGAATCTGGAAATTGAGTTACTAATACTGCTCTCTGCCTGCCTCATTGGGTGATTATGAACATCAGGAAAGAAAGCATCTGAGCGCATGCATCCTTTATAAGTTAAAAGGTGCCACATCCATAGAAGAGCGACCTCCTCAGAACAAAGGCTTGGAGGCCAGACGCAGTGGCTCATGCCTGTAATCCCAGTACTTTTGGAGGCCAAGGCAGGCGGATCACCTGAGGTTAGGAGTTCAAGACCAGCCTGGCCAACATGGCAAAACCCCGTCTCTACTAAAAATACAAAAAATTAGCTGGGTGGTGGTGCGTGCCTGTAGCCCCAGCTACTTGGGAGGCTGAGGCAGGAAAATTGCTTGAACCCTGGAGTCGAAGGTTGCAGTGAACCGAGATTGCACCACTGCACTCCAGCCTGGGCAGCAAAGCAAGACTCCATCTCAAAAAAAAAAAAAAAAAAAAAGAAGAAGAAGAAAAAGAAGAAAGGCTTGGAAGGCTGGTGGGATCACTGGCTAGACACAGCCTCCCAAGGTGACAGTCCTTTGGTGAGGCTACCAAGTCGAGAGTCTGGCCTTTACTAATGCAGTTCCTAAGGAAATACTTGGTCTCCATCTTCAACATGTTTTGGGGGAAGCAGGAATCCCAGAAAGCAATTAGAAAAGGAAACAGCAGGCTCAGCTGCAGTGTGGTCAGAATCTATCCCTGGCACACTCCCTAATTCTGCTGAGACCTAACCCAAGCCTGACCTCCAGGCTCCTCCAGGAGGACAGCAATGAAAATTCCTCACATTTGTACGCTTTTCCATAAAAGGTGGCTTATATGTGTGATTTCCTTTGAATTGCACTATGTCGTAAGGTAGTATAATCATCCCTATTTACAGATGAGAGCATAGGACCTCAGAGAATTACACCACTATGTACAGTGTCACAGGAGAGCCTTGTGGGACGGGGGCGAGCCCAGCCTCTGAGTCTGAATCCTGCGCTTCTCCTTCAGCTGCTGGTTAGCCTCCAGGAAAGATGCAGCTTGCTTCCTTTGCTTTCTTTTGTCTTTCCTCCCTTCATTTTGTTTCTTGATAATGATATCTCTATTTCAACTATTAACAGTTGTATTCCTAATGTTATCAGAAGATAATACTTATAATAAAGTAATGCTGTATTCCATTAAAACCCATACCAGTAAATTTCCCAGATAATCCTGTTAGGTACCATAAGCCTTTCTAAAAATACCATTTTGAATCAAAATATCTCTAAAAATGCATTATGCAATTCTTTACTTTTTAATCAGGTTAGTTTATTGCAAATGTAACATGCTAATAAACAAAATAAAAATCCAAGCCAGGTGTGGTGGCTCATGCCTGTAATCCCAGCACTTTGGGAGGCTGAGGCAGGCGGATCACATGAGGTCAGGAGTTCAAGACCAGCCTGCCCAACATGGCAAAACCCCCTCTCTACTAAACATGCAAAAAATTAGCCAGGCATGGTGGCAGGTGCCTGTAATCCCAGCTACTCAGGAGGTTGAGGCAGGAGAATCGCTTAAACCTGGGAAGCAGAGCTTGCAGTGAGCCGAGATTGCACCACTGCACTCCAGCCTGGGCGACAAGAGCGAAACTCCATCTCAAAAAAAAAAAAATCCAAATATTACCATATATTATAAAGCAGGTAAACTTCTTAAGGATGGAAACCCAGTATTACCTCAGGACCCTCATAACTGAAGGCCAGACTTTGGACTGGAGTGGCCCCACCAAGCGACTGTAAAGGTCCACCTACCCTGCCCACCCTCCAGGCCAGCGTGAAGCATTAGCTAGTTCATAGAAGTGTTTCTAACAGCGGACGGTGGCTTCTCTGTCAGGCATCTCAGGGGGGCCGTGGCAGGGGGTGGACTCACTTAGAGGCTTCCTAGAGCGTGCAGTGAGCACTCACACCTCTATCTAGGTCCCCCTCTCATCTGGAAAGCAGGTGTCTGGGCTCCCTGGCGAAAGGCAGCTGAGGCCTCCAGGAAAGAAGAGCACAGGCAGCTTCCCTAGGGTGGCTGTGTCTGACAAGGAAGTAGAGTGGAAGGCCTGTCGTGGCCAGGTTTCTGATCTGCCCGGCACACTGGGAAAAAATGAGGCGACCCACTCTCTGCAGCTCACAGTGCAGAGGGAGGACCCGTGCAACAGGTCACAGGAAGACAAATCTCAGAAGACCTTTCCAAGAATCAGAGCTGTCCTTCCAGGGGCTGGGCTGTCCCAGGAGAAAGAGAGACCTGCTCCTAAGGGTCGTAAGAATCCAGGGACTGCCCCTCCTCCCAAGGAAAGACAGTCCAGCTCAAATGTTCCTTCTAGTCCCGAGCTAATGTGATTTTCAGCGTCTGTTTCTGAGAAGTTACTTGGGCTCTGGGTTCTGACCTATATTTAAAGCAGCCCCTAGGACCATGTGCAAACTGAATGATGAACACCTACACAAAACACAGATAAATGATTTCCCCATGACCCTTCCAAAGTCTTAGTTTGTATAAACCTGAGCCAGTGGTCATAAAATGAAGAGAGGACAAGAGAGTAGGTACTTTTTCTGTTTGGGACAAGATTTGAATCTCCAGGCCTGGCATGGTGGCTCACACCTGTAATCTCAGCACTTTGGGAGGCTGAGGCTGGAGGATTGTTGGAGCCAAGGAGTTTGAGACCAGCCTGGGCAACATTGCGAGACTTCCATTTCTACAAAAAGTAAAAATTAAAAAATTAGCCAGCCGTGATCGCACACACCAGTAGTCCCAGCTACTCAGGAGGCTGAGGCAGGAGGATCACTGGAGCTTAGGAGATCAAGGCTGCAGTGAGCTATGATCACACCACTGTACTGCAGCCTGAGTGACAGAACAAGATCCTTTCTAAAAAACAAAAAATTGAATCTCCAGTGTACATGCAGACTTGGATGAGTAGGCCTGCCCCTCCACCTGTTGCAGAGTCTGCACACCTCTTCTCCAAGCCCATTTCTCCATTTCTCTTTTCTTCTGGGCACACAGCTAGACTACATTTCCCAGCTTCCCTTGTAGTGACATATAGCCACGAACTGAGTTCTGGCCAATGGAACATGGGCAGAAGTTGTGTGTATCCCTTCTGGACCTGGCCCATTAAAATGTTCTAAATGATCATACACATTCTCTATCCACTGGAGGACATTCTTGGGCCAGATGCAGAAATTCCAAGACCTTAGAATAGAGATAAACAAGTTTTTGGGCCAGATGTAAATATTTTAGGCTTGTGAGCTACACAGTATTTGTTGCAACTGCTGTCAGAGTTCAAAAGCAGCCATAAATACGTAAGTAAATGAGTGTGATTGTGTTCTAGTAAAACTTCATTTACAAACAGCTGGCAGACTCAATTTGGCCCATGGCTCTTGCCCTAGGAGATGGTGGAGCCACAATGTAGAAGGAGCCTGGGTCTCTGAATGAATGCCTGGCAACCAAGAGTATTCATACTGACTATTGCATAAGTGAGGACTAATCTTTTATTATGTCAAGCCAGTAAGAGTATGAGATTTATTAAAGCAGCTGGTAATCTCTACCCTATTTAATTATACTCACCATACTCTATTTTTTTCTGGTGGCCAAGTGTGCAGGTCAAGAAATGGACCAATGAGGAAAAAACTTGAGTGGTTTTCTGAAGTGGCCTTTAAAACTACAGGGCTGGAGAGAGGCTGCAGGTAGGAGATTTCCAAAAACACCTCCCCACCACCAAAAAAAAAGTTCTGGAGAATGATGCTTCCTCTAGAACCTAAGTCAGGCAGGTTTGTGACTCCAGGCGGAGCCTTTGAGGAGACCCACTTTGATGGTTAAAGAGGAAGAGCATCTCCTCTGTGAAACCCTTTGTGATCACCCCTCCCTCCCGTGGGTGGGTTGGCTGCCCCTGCACTATATTCCCTCAATACTTTACACATAAACTGACCATGCCTCTCTTTATGTTGGATTGGTCTTACCCGCTTTGTCCTTTTCTGCTGGACATAAGAGCAAGGACTGCATCTCATCTCCCTGGGTTCATCCTCCAGCCCCCCACTTTATCCCCCAATCTCACCCCTTCCCCACACTCTCCCACCTCCCTCCACAACCAGCACAGTGCTTGGCACACAGGAGATACCTTGTGAATGTCCCTTCAGTGAAGGAGAGAACAGAAATGAATGAATGAAGACATGCATAGGTTGACAAATTTGCCTAGGTTACAGGGGGTTGGCTATATCACTTATCATTTTTCATCAAACTGGGATACCCTGAGGGTGAAAGGCAGCTCTACTGTAATTATCCACAGTCATCATAGCAGTAGGCGTCTTTGGACCATGGTCTCCAGCAATACAGAGCATTCTCAAAGGGAATCAGTGGTTTCAATTAGTTTAAGAACATTTAATATTAAAAGCAAACAAAGAAGAAAACTCAGAGCACAATGGAAAGGAAAGGATGCTGTGATCTGAAGGGTTTTTTGGCGGAAACCTGGGAGGATCGCACCGCTCTCTCATTGCGCTATGAGTTTTCACTGATCATTTCACACCAATGCCAAGCACAACAGGTTGAGTTGACAATACAGCTCATATCCACCCTAGAGCACAGTCCCAGGATTACCCACAGGAACACACACATGTATACACACACACACCACCGTTCTAGCAGGATAAGAGGATCCCACGTGTTCTTGTGTATACTCTCCCTGCATATGTTTCCAAGAAAAATCTCAGAACCTCCGCTTTTCTAGAAAATAATCAGTCTAAAGAATTACTTTAAGAGGATGTGTGTCCACTTCAGGGACATCTATTTGAGAGGTAAATGAAATCACAATTGCAAATATTTGTGGAAAGTTTTGGGCGGTTGTGCGTGTGTGTGTGCTTGAGTATAGAACACTAATCACATCAGTAATACTGATCTGGGCTGATAATCAAATGCTGACTAAATGAATCCCATTATATGGAACAAATAAAAATGCAGCCAGAGAGCATAGGGCAGCCGCCGTGCTCTCCTGCCACAGCTGAGGGAAGAGATTGGGCTGGAGATGGCCATGTAGCCCATGTGGATATCGAGCATTTTGGATGGAAACTTAGCCCGTAATGTTTCCACATGAAGTATGCCATTCAAATACCCACCTACTGCTTCCTACTCTTAATAAATTCCTTCATTTTTTCGGGTTTTCCCACCTTGGGCCGTGAGATATGTTTCTGAAAACCTTCCTACCCATTGGCACACTGGCTCCGTGGGCGAGCCTCACCGAAGCTCACCCAGCCAGACTGTATTCTTTCCGTGTGAGTACTCCAGCAGCAACCACTCCTTTCCCGTACTGCACTTTACAAGGCCCTTACTGGTCCAACATTTAGATTTTGAGCCTAAACACAACCTGAAAGAGAGAGTTTGATTAGGTATTACCAGCTCTATTTCACATCAAGAATTGGTGCCAAAAGGAAGCCTGCCCAAGGTCAAAGGGCTAATATATGGGAAAACCAGCGCTAGAACTGGGTCTTAGGTGCCTTTCTCCTTAGCTATACCTTACAGCCTCACCACCCTACCCCATCCAGCCCCCAATTCCACTTTTGTCAGGTAACGTTGGACACGTGCCAAGACCTGGGGCAGAGGAATGGAGTGGCAGATTTGTCGCTTATGACTGGAACCTGTTTTGATCTCATCAGTGTGGACACCTCCAGAAAGATCCGACCAGCCATGGACTCTGTAAGTTTCTTTCATCTGCAACCACTGCTGCAGACGCAAGAGAGGGAAGGCCTCATACACCTGGGTGTGTCTGTGGATCTCTTTCAGATAAGCAGCGTGGTTTGGTGCAGACACAAACAGTAGCACTGAATCACATGCTGCTCTTTTGAAGAGATGAGCTCCTCCACTGGAAATCAGGTGGTGAGCACCAGCAAAGGTTTCCCCTGGGAATCACAGCCACCGGGGGCAGGTCGACGTACAAAGATGAAGGTAGGTTTCCCTACAGGGGAAGCCTTGCGGGAAGACAGAGAGAAGCTGTGGGTAAGGAACTGCTGATGGTTTTGTAGATCTGTAAATGGTACCTGGGAATCATTGGCGAGCCCTGAACTGGAACACAGAACTGAGAGAGTGCTGATGCAGGACCCAGCGTCCCGACCCACCCTCCCTCCTTGAACTCATGTGACCTTGGCAACTTCGTTTTCTCTTTCTCTGGGCAGGAGTTCAGCTGCAAGATTGGAACCTTTAGGAACATGGCTTATGGTGTTAGGAGAACATCCATAAAGTGATTAAAAGTACTCCCTGCACTGAAATATTTGTTACTGCCCACGCTGGCCTCCTCCCATCATGGTGCCTAAAAATAGCCTTAATATTTGGCCTTTTAGATCTCAAAGACTTTTAATATTTGGGAGTCCCCTATTAAACTGTCAGGTCCATGGAAAAGTCATTTAGGCGAGTGTTTGGGATATTCACTGTAGACTGAGGAACAATAGCTTGAGGTGGCAAAAGTGGAGACTTTAGCAGCGTGAGAAGGGGGAGAGCCCTAAGCTTCACACACTTACAACTGGCTGGTGTCCCCAGGGCAGTGGGGCTCCCTACATTGTTGCTGAGAGTGTCTGAAAGAGGGCAGTGTGGCATCTTAGAAAGAGACTGGGGAAAACAAAACCTGGGTTCTAATCCTGGCTCTGCTGTAAGCTTCCTGTGGCACACGCACAAGTCCTTTCCCCTCTCTGGGCCTCAGTTTCCCTATCTGTAAAATGAAAGGATTGGAACCAAGGGGTGATGAGGTTGTGTCTGGCTCTCAAGATTTTGAAATGAACTGGTGAGCCATGATTGGCTAATCCTGGAGCAGAGGGTAGGGAGACTCCCCAGTCATCAGCCAAGACCCAACCCTTTTAGAGAAAGAATCCAGGATGGGGGTGAGTCCTGGAGCAGGAGGAGCCTGCTGCAAGACAGACAGGGAAGCATTCCCCAGGCCATCAACTCACTCTTCTTCCCAGACTTCCTCAAGTGGGTCTTGGTCTCCCTTGCCAGGAGCCCCAAACTCCCTGCTGCCAGATGCCCTCACGGCCTTTGACCAGATGTTTAGGCTCTGCCAAGTTTCCTTGGACAGTACCCTGGGTTGCCTCCATACTAACTTATCCCCACCTTAAAGGATTCATGGGAAAGAGTGTAGGACTTGGAGTCAGGGGCCTTGAGTTCTGGTCCCAGCTTGCTGAGTAATCTTAGGCAAGCGATTGCACTTCTCTGAACCCTAACTTGGCCCTTGGATTCAGTGCCAGTTGCCGTTTCAGGACCCACCATGGCCTCTAAGTTTTGAGGTAATGAAAGGGATATCTACTAGCTGGTTCCTGGCTTCGCCAAGGGAATGTCACTTCCAAACCAGACGTTGGTGAAGGTCCAGGAACGTAGGTCCTGAAGACGAGCCCTGTCCTCAGAGCCCGAGATAGTTTCTAGCCCATAGTCAGAGGCTTCTTCTGTTTTGTCCTACTAGGGAAAGGGGGAAGGGAGAAACACTCTTGACCTTAACCTTGGCTTCTTTACGTCACAATAGTGAAAGTCTTGTTATTGTCTAATCAAGGGCACCCACTTTACCTGGGATGATCCTGGGGCTGGAGAGGGGAAGTGACTTGATTGACTCACACACTGAGGAAGTCCAGGGCTCTCCAGGCCTGGACCCGTGTCTCCCTGGCTTTCTGCCACACCATCACATTGTTTGAGTCTTCATTTGGCACAATTTAGGGAGGTTTGGGCAGTTAATTTGGGGCTGGGATGAGCAGGGATAAGACTCCAATTCCGTTCAAAGCCGATTCCAAATAAACCATCCTTCTCCAAACCAGAACCACCCCTCCCTAGAAGGTCAGGGACATTCCAAGGAAATTCTTGGGAATTAAATATACCTCATGGAGAGGTGAGGAATTGAATGATTTCCAATTTTCCCTCCTCACCAAACATATATCCTTGAAACCTTGGTTCCTACTTCTGGACAATGACCTTGAACTTGATTAGACCTGTTCTCTCCTGGAGTGGAATCACTCCTTTACTCCTTCCTTTGCATTTCCTGAGTACCTACTAGGTGCCAGACCCCATGTTAAGTGAGGTAAATCAGAGCTGCCTAAGACATATGCCTGTCCTTGAAGAATTCAGCCAACCAGGAAGGACACAAATGATTCATATCCATGATACAATGGCAAGAGCTTCTCCACCCACAAACTAGATCCACTCTTCTAGGATGGGGTCTCACCACACCAGATACCAAGGGTGGGAGCAAAAGAAGACGAAGTTCCCCTGGGGGCTGCACCCCACCCACCGGCAGCATTCTCCCCAGGAAGACAGACCCCCGGCCTCTTTACCTCCAGCGTCATGCATCTAGTACATATTCATTCACACTTGGTCTGGGGAGTAGGGGGTGGGGGGGGGGTTGCTGAACAATGTCAGAAATAGTTCTCATCAAGCAGCTACCATGTATGAAATGTGGGAGTACAAATAAGGGGGAAAGTAAGGGGAAATCCAAATGCCAGTTTCTGCCATCCCAAAGGGAACAATTTATTTATATGCCAGAAAAACTGGAGGCCTAGGCTGGGTGCAGTGGCTCACGCCTGTAATCCTAGTACTTTAGGAGGCCAAGGCCGGCGGGTCGCTTGGGGTCAGGAGTTCGAGACCAGCCTGGCCAACATAGCGAAACCTCGCCTCTACTAAAAATTTAAAAACATAGCTGGGCGTGGTGGTGTACGCCTCTAATCCCAGCTACTTGGAGGCTGACGCAGGAGAATCACTTGAACCCCAGAGGCAGAGGCTGCAGTGAGTGAAGATCATACCACTGCACTCTAGCCTGGGTGACAGAGAAAGACTCTGTCTCAAAAAAATAAAATAAAATAACTGGAGGCCTATTAAAAGCGCATCAGTCTAGGAGTTTGGACCCGTGGGTCTTGGTCCCTTAGCATGCCCTGGAGTTGCAGGATTGGTGCTGGCTGATGCCTCTGTGCTTGGTTTGCTTTTCCTTTAAAGCCTGGGCTATCTTTTCTTTCAGGCAATATAAGATATCAGCTAGGTTTGTGGAAAGGAGAAATTCAGATGGGGAGCTGTGCCATAGGGGAATGAGGTGTGAACTGGAGAAGGAGGAAGGGGTAGAGATGAAGAGGAGGGGAGAAGAGGAGGCCTTCAGAAATGTCACTCCCCATGGAGGGTTAGAAACAAGGTCCTTTTCTGGTACCACTGAGCAGCTCAAGAAAGAGGAAGGAAGGAGTGCCAAGTTCCAGGGCCATCTTCTCACCATTCAAACCACCAAGACGATGGTTAGTCAAGGCGCTCAAACTGGGTCACAAGAGCTTTAGAGCAAGCAGTGGGGGTTTGGTCTAGGGGACACTGGGCCTACGAACAGGGGTGAGCCAGAAGGAACAGAAACGGCCCCGGCTACTGGTCAAGCCAGATCCAGGTGTGGCCGCTGTAGTTTGGATATTTGTTCCCCCAAATCTCTTCTTGAAATTTGATCCCAGTGTTGGAGGTGGGGCCTAATGGGAGGTATTTGGGTCATGGAGGTGGATCCCTTATGAATAGGTTAATGCTCTCCCTGTGGGGAGACGGAGGCAATGAGTGATTTCTCTCTCACTCGAGAGCAGGTTGTCCAAAAGAGCCTGGCACTGCCCTTCTCCCTATCTCTTGCTTCCTTCCTCTTGCCATTTGATTCCTGCTCCAGTTCACCTCCCGCCATGAGTGCAAGCAGCCTGAGGCCTCACCAGAGCAGAAGCTGGCACCACACTTCTTGTACAGCCTGCAGAACCTTGAGCCAAATAAACCTCTTTCCTTTATAAATTACCCAGCCTTGCCAGGCATGGTGGCTCATGCCTGTAATCCCAGCACTTCGGGAGGCCAAGGCGGGTGGATCACTTGAGGTCAGGAGCTCAAGACCAGCCTGACCAACATGGTGAAACCCTGTTTCTACTAAAAAAAAAAAAAAGCACAAAATTAGCCGGGTGAGGTGGAGGGCACCTATATTCCCAGCTACTCGGGAGGCTGAGGCAGGAGAATCGCTTGAACCCGGGAGATGGAGGTTGTGGTGAGCCAAGGTCATGCTATTGCACTCTAGCCTGGGCAACAAGAGTGAAACTCTGTCTCAAAATAAATAAATCAATAAATATAAATAAATTACCCAGCCTCAGGTATTCTTTATAGCAACACGAAACGGACTAAGACAGTGGACATGTGCAACAAGCCTGGAGCAGAGAGTGCAGAGCGCCCTGGGCCTAGCACCCTCCTGGCTGCCTGGAGCCCTGAGTAGTTCCCCATGTGTCAGTCATGGCTCCTACCCCAGCAGTCCGTGCACATTTCTAGCTCTGTCATGCATCACTTAGCAGCAGATGCTGGGACTACTGATGCATACCACACAGAGGAAAGAGTTCTGCTTATTAAATTACTAAATCCTGTTTAAAAAGACGGCAACTTGCTCCTAATAGAATTTCTATGTTTCTCGTGATCCTTGGCAACTACAATGAGATTTTTAAATCTCCAGTATGGTGCCAGGGGTAGATTCTTCCAACCAGTTCTCTCTCTACTCACAAGCAGAACCCTCAAAAACAGCTCTGTCCCCTGGGAGGGAATTGTGCTTTCTTAGTATAACAGAGCCTTTCTAATTTGGTTAAAATCTGTTCTGCTGACTGTGGGGCAGTGAGAGGTGTTTCTTTAGGGAAACCATGTGTGTCCACACACGTGTGTGTGGAGGGGGTTCTCTGAAGCTGTCATAGTTGGGAGGGTATGAAATACTATTGTTTATTTTATGCCATTTTATTCCTCCCACCTTCCTGCTTACATATGCGACAAATGGTAGAAGTGAACATGGGATGTTTGTGCTGTGAGGAGTCGATGAATGCCTCCTCCCAGACTCACGCTGCCACCCCTGGAGGACCGCGTGCCGCCGGGAGTCACCCTGTTTTTCATGCAGTCGATGCTGCATTGTTGAACACGGAGGATTACCTAGGCTGGGAAAGAACGTGGAAAGTGTCTCAGTGCATTTAAAGTACCATCAGGTTAAGTCATGGAGAAACATGAGCCTCACTTTGCAGGAAAGAAAAGCTAAATTTGATGAGTAAACCAGACTTCAGGTGTTTTCTGGAAGGTGTATTTTATCTAATGACTTAGCTTTGCTTTTGTCGCTCCATTCTTTTCCCTCTGAGCTCCAGGAGCAAAGTAGTTTTAGGGTCTTTCTTTTATTTTCATTCAAAACATCTCTTCTTACTCTAGTGATATCATCCCTGGAAGACTGAGAAGTCAGAAGAGGTGAATCACGTGTCACCTTCACATCTCTTCTAGAATTACATCAGTCAGAGCTCTGAGGTGCAGTGGGGATCGATGCCAAAAAGCAGAGGGGAGGAAGGAGAGATGGGGAGGGCACAGACGGAGGAGGAAGGGAGCTGGCTCTTTCCAGCCTGCTTATTTTCTTCTTCCTCCTCCTCAACCTTCAAGCCCCCCTTCCTATTTATAAATCACATGAGAGGAAATATCAGACTTTAAAGAGATGGCTGCTTTATATTTATTGATGGTGTTGGTTTCAACACTATTTGCCTGAACTTTTGGACCAACCACCACATGCCTGTCAGTCACAGATGAAAGCCAACATTGGCATTCTCACAGGACACTTAAACTAGATAAGAATGAAGACACACAGACCCTGCCCTGTCTCCCAAGTATTAGCCATATTATCTTCACTCTGTCTCATCTCTTCATCAGTTTCAAACAGCAGAGGAACTTGGCTATGCATGGGAATAATTTCAAATGTGAAATCTAGTCACGCAGGCTAGTGATGGCCCACACAGCCGTCTGCTTATCAGGTGAGCACACTGGTGTGGAAGGGCTGGGATGGGTGGCTGGGCTGAGACTGGACTTTCCTGACCTCTCTCTAGCTGGGGTTTTTAATGTCATTCAATGATGTGTATCTGAGGTATTCAGGGAGAGGGATCGGGACGCACAACCAAGCCAAAATATAATAGATTCAAAGGCCTGGACGTCCTAAGGCCCTTAAGACTGAATTTTTTTTAAATGTTTTCCACTCAGCTGGGTACAGTGGCTCACGCCTGTAATGCCAGCACTTTGGTAGGCTAAGGTGGGCAGATCACCTGAGGTCGGGAGTTTGAAACCAGCCTGACCAACATGGAGAAACCCCATCTCTACTAAAAATACAAAATTAGCCCGGCGTGGTGGCGCATGCCTGTAATCCCAGCTACTTGGGAGGCTGAGGCAGGAGAATCGCTTGAACCCGGGAGGTGGAGGTTGCGGTGAGCTGAGATTGCACCATTGCACTCCAGCCTGGGTGACAAGAGTGAAACTCCGTCTCAAAAAAAAAAAAAAAATATATATATATATACACACACACACACACACACACACACACACACATATTTTCCACTCGCCCCCTTTGCTTTTCTTTTTTAAAGATAGTTCTATGCCTGAACCATTCCTGTTAATTAGGAAGAAAATCTTTCACCCCTCTTTCCTCTATGGTTCCAGTGAATTCCAGACTCCTTAGGATTTCTGGGTCTAGCTGCTCAGAACATATTTATGATGAAAACAAAGCAAAGTGGCCTCAGGACACCAGGGAAGGCCAGGAGTGAGATCCATTTCTGCAACACAGGAAGAGAGGCCTCAAGGGGCAAAAGGAAAATATAATTTGCAGAAGGCACAGTTTTGGCAGCATCTTATTACAACTTCCAGCTGATCGGGTGTAGCCAAACTAGAGACATCTGTTTGGAGTTTACAACAGAAACAAACACACAGAAAGCATGAAAGCGCTGAAACATGCACACCCATACCGCGCTCTAACAGCTCCTCTCCCCCTCGACCTTCGCGCCATCCCCCAACTGGGTCACACTGGGTTGTAGAAGGGAAGGAAATGGGCTCTGCAGCCTGCCCAGCCACCCACCCACCTGCACCGTGACTCACTCACACCAGGATCGGAACTTGTCAACTTTTCTCTCCTTGGTTTTCCTCCCAGGAAAAACAGAGATGGCCCCACTCCTCAGAGAACTCCTCTTTGGGTTTCTAGTTCATCTTTAAAGCTCCCTGAGCTGTTTGTAAAGGAAAAGATAAGGTAGTCTCCTTACGCTTGATTATTAGCATGGCCCACAGAAGGAGGTAGTAAAATCTCAGCAGATCTGGAAGTCACTCCTCCATAAATAACCTCACAGGTCTGGGAGTGCGATATGGAACTCACCGTGGCCTCTCCAAAAGACCAGAAAAAGATCACACAACTTAATTACTGAAAAATACAGGATAATACAAGAAAAGGCTGGTCCCAGACACAGCACCCAGAGTTGTGGAGGTCCAGGAAGGCCCCAGATGGCGCATAAAGTGGACCTTCCTTCCCTAATTCTCTCCAAGCACAGGAAAGGCCAAAGACTGTCTTATGACACCATCCCAGGGTCAGACACAGCCTCTCCCACCCCAACGCAGCAGTTCCAGACGCTCACCTGTTCTGTTAAATTTTCCTCTTTATTCTCTCCCCACTGGCGTGCAAACAGAACCAGAACAGTGCTACTTTTAAAAAATAACAAAATGTTTTATACACATTTCTGTATATACAACTGAACAACATTTTACATGTTTCTTTTGCACAGCAAAAGATATAAACATTCAGCTCTGAGAACACAGTTATGTACAGAAAAAAGTCAAAAATACTTCACAACAGTGCAAAAATATTTTACACAGTATCATGGAGTGAGATCTTTTGAGCAAGAGGAAGGGTGTGTGTGTTTCTAAAGGAAAACTCCTTTTTAAGATATTGGATGTCTTTAACTGTAAACAAAACGCGACTCTCTTTCATCTCCCCCCACCCCCCAAACAGTTATTTGAAGAATTTGGCAACATTTCAGGGGTCTGAGTCTGAGGTAAACAGCCAGAATTCTTGCACCAAAAAGAACCAAGGGCTAAAGGGTTGCATTAAAGCCTCAAACACCTTGAGAGCAAATTTTTTTTTTTTTTTAATGAGATGTCAGTGACAGCGCAGGGCCGCTCCCAGGGGGTGGGAGGAGGAAGTGAACCCCTCCTCCTCAGGCCCCAGCTGCCCCACAAACAGGAAACTGGCCAGGCACCTACGGCCTGAGACTAGGAACTTCAGCCAACCTTCCCTCACCCGCATCCCAGAGGGGTGCCTCTCTCTCCCTCCTGGCGGGGTTTTCCCCTCTCAAATCTCCCCGCATCCCCACGCGCAACAGAGCCAAAAGTGCTGGGGCGGGAGCGGGGGCCGGGAGGTAGGGGAAAGCGGTCGGGGGAACGCTGGACCTGGGCTCCAAGTGTAGGTCTGGGCCCCAAATGCCCCATTTCCCCCTTCCTGGGGGCGGGCAAGGGACAGGGAGGTTGTCGGGACCACGGATGGGTAGCCACGGTGGAGCGCCGGCGACGCGCGGAGGAGCTCAGCCCGAGTGGGGCTCGTCTGCACTGGCGCCGTCGGCCTGGCGGGACGAGTCCCCGGCGGTGGCGGAGGTGGCGTCAGGGCCCCCGCCCTCGATGGAGCTCTCGCTGCCCGTGCTGTCGCCTGACAGCAGGCGCGTCACCCGCAAGTCGGCCTGCAGGGTGCGCACGTCGTTGCCGAAGCTGAGCTCGCCCAGGTCGCTAATAAGTTGCGACAGCTCAGCCTTCATGTCGGAGGCGCTGCCCAGCAGCAGAGGCGGCGGCCCGGCCCCCGGGCCCAGGGAGCCCCCGCCGCCTCCTAGCGCCTCCCCACGGCCATTCTCCAGAGTATCCAACAAGTCCCCGCACTCAAAGTGCATGGCGACCACTAGCGCACGCTGCGCCTCGGCCTCCTCCTCTGCTGGATCTCCCTCTGCCGCACGGTTCTCCTCCTCCTCCGGGCAGCCCTCGGGTTGCTCCTCTTCCTCTTCCTCCTGCAGCTCCTGCTCCAGCTGTTCGCCGAGCAGGTCCTCGGTGATGGAGCCAAGCTTGGGCGCGCTGCGGCTGCGCTCCACCGGCGGTTTATAGCAGCAGGGTCCGTGTAGGAGCAGCTTGCGCAGCGGCACTAGCGGGATGGTGTGTGCGCCCACCAGCTCCTGCTGCTGGTGACGCGCGTCGTCCCGCCGCTTGAGGCGTTTAAATTCCGCCAGCGCGTTGGCCGACGTCTGGTAGAGCAGCAGGGCCATGGCCTGCGCCTTTTCGGGCTTGGACACCAGCACGGCGTGGCAGCGCAGCATCACGGCCTTGTGCTTCAGCTCGTGCCGGTACACCCAGGCGAAGACCTTGGGCAGCCGCGCGTCGGCCACGCAGTAGGTGACGCGGTGCAGCAGGTAGAGGTGGCCCGGGCGGCGCAGCGCGCGCTCCTCGGCGTGCACCATGCGGATACCCTGCGCACTCACCGTCAGCTTCATCTTGGTGCCCTGACGGCCCGCCTCGCTCTTGCTCCAGATCTTGCCCACAGCAAGGTCGGTGCAGCCGTCGCCGCGCGCCTGGATGGTGGTGGCATTGCCCAGGTAGAGCACGGTGTAAGTTGGGTCCTCGCTAGTGATGTGCAGCTTCTTGCGCTTGGAGCGGAACATGCTGCCCACCCGGCTAAGCGCGCCTTCGGGGCACGCCCGCGCCAGCGAGCTGAGCGCCGAGTAGTGCAGGCTCACAGCGTAGCCCTTGGGCTTGGACGCCTGCCGCGGCGGCGCCTCGGCCAGCAGCTCGAACTTGTGCTTCTTCCACGGCAGCATCTCCGGAGGGCGCCCCGGCGCAGCTGGGCGGCGGCGGCGGCGGAGCGCCGGGTGCGAGGCCCGCTGAGCCACCGGCCCCTGCCAGGCTCGGCCCGGGCAAGATCGAAGAATAAAACTACTGGGAGCGGCCCTGTGGTAGGGAGTTGGGGGGAGGGGAGCAGAGAGAGTGCTTAGGAACCCCGCAGGAGGTGCGGGTAAATTCTCTAAAAAAGAAAATATTCAGCTTCGAGTGTGCAAAAAAGGTTGGTGCGGGGGAGACACGCGCGCACACAGAATTACCCCAGCCTGGGCAAGGGCGAGAGCAAAGAGTCTCAGGCAAGCAACAAAATGCAAGGGAGAAAGAACGAGCGTAGAGTGGAAAATGTCAGGAAAAAAGCTAGAAGCGCGCGTGCAAATAAAGAGAGCCCCAGCAACAGCACCCGGGATGGTGCAAGAATATGCAGGAACTCCTCGGCGAACGTGAGGTGGGTCCCCTAACACACACAACCCTCAGGACTGGGGCCAAAACCCGCGGAAACTCTACAGCGAGTGTGCCTAGGGGCCGGTGCTCCCCACCTCCGAGGGGTGCTGGAGATGGAAAGCCCCCCGTTTGGGCTGGTCTCAAGTCAGCAGCTCGCCCAAAGTGCGGTCGGATGCTGGGTCCGGCTGGCCGCGGCGGGCCCCGCGCAGCAGTCCCGCGGGGACTCACTGCATCTTCGCTCCGCCGGACGCCGGGGACTCGCGCTCGGCCCGCTCAGTGTCCGGGCTGGCCTGGCCGAGACGGCGCTGGGCTCCGAGAACAGGGGACGGGCATGGCCGGGTCCGGGAACCGCCGCTACCTCATTTCTTCCCTCCGAGGCGGTGTCCAGCTCCGCTCCCGGGCTCTCCACGGTCTGCTGCCCGCCTTTGCAGTGCGCCCTCTCCGGTGCTGCGAGCGGCGTCCGGCTCGCCTGCCTCACATCCTTGCCGTCCGGGAGGAAGATCTCGGGTAAATATAGGCCGGCGCGAACCATTCGCCGCGCGGGGACAGGGGAGGAGCAGAGAAGAGGATCTGTTTTGGGCTCCGACTCCGGGCGGATTCCTGGTTTCTTAAAGGGACCGCGTGACAGCCATTGGTCGAGGGAGCGGGGAGACCGGTCCAATCCTCCAATTACATCCCAAATTTACCAGCATCTCTTTTGTCTATGGAAATCACTGGGACCTGGGGTTACCCCGCAGCAAAAAGATTTGAATCCTGACACTCCACCCCCCAGGCTGAATTGCCACTCACTGAATACATGTATGTCTAGATCGAAACTTCTGAGGGAGGTGGCAGAAGATGAGATTACAGATTATAATTTCCTGTACAAAAAGTTTGGGAAAATAGTGGTTTCTTCCTTGTGTGACGGCTTTCTGAGAATGACTGGGTGCTGTTTAATATTATTTTCAGAATTGTATTCCATTAAAGAAAAGAGAGAGGCACAGAAAACACCAAGGCTTATCTCTCACTATCTTGAGCTCGTATTCACAGGTAAGCAGCAGACAGTGTAAAGTGAGGTGAGTGGTAACATGATTGGGGTGACTACTGTAGAATACCGTCAATGAATAAGGCTTTTCCCCGTCCGAACCCCGGCAAGACCCCCTCCTGCTGTCAGGCCTCAGGGTAGAGCAGTTTTCTGAGATACACACAATTTCTAATGCTCGTGTGTCGTTAGGACTTAGTTTACTTTGGCAAGCCGGTCATGCGGTTTCATTCTATCATTGACATATTTTGGATGAGAATTCCTAGTAAAAATTCAAATGACGTTTTTTATTTAAGTGACAAATAATGCCAGGCCACCCTCCAATGGGAGTGATAATTGCATCAGTATTGCTTTTATCATGTGCCAACTGGACAGTGTAGTTGTCTTCTGACCGGCTTGACCCTTAGCCAGTAACTCATTTCTGGGCCCTTGAAACAGCCTGCTTGCCTCTATGGTATGGTCAGTCAAAGCAAAAAGACGTATGGCTGGAGTGGGATCAATGTCCGAATGATCCTGCATCAAACTCCCAGCCTGGTCCTGGAGGAGGACAGTGATCCCTTCCCACCATCCCAGTCCCCTGGGGATCTTTGATGTCTCTGGCTTCCACGCCAGGTCTTCATGCCAGAGTCACTGCAACCATACCTGGAAATTCCCTTGGGATATTCCAACAAAATAAAACTGACCCCTGCCCACCCTCTACCTTTGCCAACTTTTAACCTTCCTTTGAAATCTAACTCAATTTTCTCAGAGTCGTTGATGCTGAGTTTCCATTTAAGTTACTTTGCTGAGTTTCCATTTAAGTTACTTTTCTGACTACCTTTTGGTGCCCGGCCCTGAGCTAGGAGCAGACGGGATTCCTGCCTCCTAGTCCAATGAAGGTTGTAAACTCTACCCAACTCTGGGTTTCCACTGGACTGTGGGTTCTCTGCAAGTACCCTGTATCCCCAATATGGTACAAATAGGCACTCAGTAACTAGAATTAATGAGCAAGATATGCATGTGGACAAGAAGACAGAGTGGGCTAAATGCTATGAGAAAGACTCAAAGCACTATGAGAAGCTGGAGGAAGAAAGCATTCATTGTGACTAGGAAAATCAGAAAAGGCTTCATGGAGGTGGTGACCTTTGAAAGATAAACAGAATTTATCCAAATAGGAAAAGACTGAAGGGCTTTATGGGTATAGAGGGTAGCAAAATTACAGAAGCATGAAAATGCATGCATAAGGCCAGGCGCGGTGGCTCACGCCTGTAATCCCAGCATTTTGGGAGGCTGAGGCGGGTGGATCACTTGAGGTCAGGAGTTCAAGACCAGCCTGGCCAACATGGCAAAACTCTATCTCTACTAAAAATACAAAAATTAGCTGGGCATGGTGGTGCACGCCTGTAATTCCAGCTACTTGGGAAGTTGAGGCAGGAGAATCCCTTGAACCCGGGAGGCGGAGGTTGCAGTAAGCCGAGATCGCGCCACTGCACTCCAGCCTGGATGACACAGTGAGACCGTCTCAAAAAAAAAGAAAGAAAGAAAGAAAGAAAATGCATACACATGTAGTAATTAAGATGGAGCTTGTAACAATCAAAGAATAAACCTTCCTGATTGTGTTTTTTGGCTCTCTTACACTCCAAGGGAAGGAATGGCCTCTTCATGGCTAACTGGCCCCACAGGGTCCTTCAACCAGAGCTATAATGCCTTACTCCTCAGCTGCACTGATGGGTTAATGGAGGGATACCAGACATGCTGTTGGAATGAGGTAGTTAGTACTATAATAAGCCATTTAAGGCAACATTAATTCCTTAAATTTCTAGGCTATCTTGTAGTGGCAATGAAGGAGATAGCACACGCTCTAAAGAACAAAAACTCTGGTAAAAACATATCAAATGAGGCTGTGTTCAGTGACCTTTAGTAGGTCCATAATCTTGAACTCCACAAAAGCAGACATCATGTTTAAGCAGTGATCATTTCCAAATCGCTCAAAGTTCCAAGGCTCAAGAGGGTTTGGGGAAGAGGAAGAGGGAGTAGTAGCAGGAGCTAAGGCTGGTCTCAGCCTCAGCGAGAGGCACCACTTTGCACTTCATGCAGTGGCATGGACCCCAGTGGCCCACAGAGGCAGGGAGGAGTCTACTGGTGGGCCGGGCTGTTCAGCAGCAGCCGGAGTGCCAGTCCCAGCGGCACAGGCCCACAGAGCTGCTCCTGTTGACGAGGCTATGTCACGCCTTGACCGCCTTCCTAATAAGCTTGTTTCCAACCTTGGGAGAACAGAAAGGTTCTAGGCCAGTGTGAACACCCTGGTGTGAGTCATGCCCTGGAGGAGAACCCGCGGTCCCCTTGTGGCCTGGACCTGTGCCAGCCTCTAGGGCCCGCCTCACCTTATGGAGAAGCTGACCACCCCACCTGAAGCACACATCACAATTAAGGCTGCGTTTCTTCAGCTGGGAGAGCTGGCAGCACCATGTGGGAGTCCACATCACAGATCTGAGACAGGGCAACTCCAGAACAGACTGTCAGCAAAGTGGAGCTGGGAAACAGGTTAGAAACTGCAGTGTACTTTTTTAATGACACTGCCCCCATCTACTGGTAGCAGGCAGAAATGCTGCTCGGTGGATGGTTTCTCGTCAAACCAGATAAGCTAGTGGTTGAAACTACACACAACCGGGTCGCAGTTGGAAGGAAATGCTGCCATCAGGAGTCCCAGCCCTAAACTTGACATCCAGGAGTAAGCCTTTCATCTCACAGAGGATTTGGACCAGCTTCCTCCCACCTTACGTCTTACATAATGCTCCTTCCTCTCGCCCCTCCTCCAACATCCTACTCAGTGGACATTGACTTCAGAGATGACACATGACGAATCTGGAATCTTCAATGTCATCTAGTAAATACTTGTGGAGAGTCTCCCATGAATGTCACATAGTTGCTGGGGATATAGCACTAAAGAGGACAGATAGAGAGGTCTTTGCCTGCATGGGATTTATAGCCTCTGGTGGAGGCAGGAGGGCAGACAGTAAACAAAAAACTAATGAAATAGCAGATAGTGAAAAGTCTCTGGAGAAAAGGAGGCAGTGCTAGGAGTGAGAGGTGGCTGGTTTAGACAGCATGGCCAGGGAAGGTGGCTCTGGGCAGAGACAGGAATGAGATGAACCTGCAAAGAGATGGGGGAGAGCATTGCAGCCTGTGCGGCCCAGTACGCAGTCACCAGCCACAGGCTGCTGCTGCCACTTGAACCATAGCTGGCCCAAATTTAGACGCACTACGAGTATGAACTACACACTGGATTTTCAGGACTTAGTAAAACAAAAAGAATGCAAAAAATCTTCATAATGTTATATTCATTATATATTGAATGATAGTATTTTGGCTATGTTGATTTAAATAAATTATTCAGATTAATTTTACCTATTTCTCTAGCCTGGTCAACATGGTGAAACCCCGTCTCTACTAAAAATACAAACATTAGCTAGGCATAGTGGTGCATGCCTATAATACCAGCTATTCGGGAGGCTGAGGCAGGAGAATCACTTGAACCTGGGAGGCAGAAGTTGCAGTGAGCCGAGATTGTGCCACTGCGCTCCTGCCTGGGCGACAGAGCGAGAGTCTGTCTCAAAAAACAACAACAACAACAAAAACTTACCTATTTCTTTTTGCTTCTTTAAGGTGGCTATCAGACACCTTGGTTTTAGCCCAGTGAGGCCCGTGTTGGGTTCTAACCTGCAGCGCTGTGAATTTGTGTTGATTTAGGCCACTACGTTCGTGGCAGTTTGTTCCAGCAGCAGTACACCTCCCATCCAGCCATCTTTTCCCTTATCCTGACTCTCTTCCCTCTCCCACTCTCCTCAACACATACGCTAAGTCCTCACTAGTTTCCCAAAGCCACTGGCTCCCCCAGAGCTCAGCAGAACTGACCGGGTGCTTCCCCCACAAAAACGAGGCAGTTAGAGCAACCTCCAGCCCCTGCCAACCTACAAAAAGCACGTCCACACCCAAGCCCACCTCCCTCCTCCAGGCTCCGAAGTCTCTCCTCCCTTCAACCTGCCCCTCTGAAAGCCACCTTCAATACTTACCAAACCACACCTCTGACCTTTTCTCTCTTCCCCTTTTAACCTTCAAAATGGCTTCCCATCAGCCACACGGTACACTCCCACTCCTCAGTATAACACATGAGAATGTTCAGGTCTGGCACCTGCCTATGTCTCCAACCTCATTCTTTTCTCCTGGACTCCTAATTTATGAACCAGCCACAGAGAATAGCCTATGCTTCTCCCCATGCTCATGAGAGTGGTTTTTCCCTTCCTGCCATGCCTTATGTGGCTCTATCTAACTGATATGACCTCCTCCTGCCATTTGTCCCGGCCAAGGCTTACTCATTCTTACAGAGCCATCTTGGATACCATTTTCTCCAGGTAAACCGCCTAGGCCTACTCATCGCCTCTCCACATGCCCTTGTGTGCATCCTTACCTCTGCACTTGCCCTGTTATAATATTGTCTTTTTTTGAGTCTTGCTGTGTTGCCCAGGCTGGAGTGCGTGATCTTGGCTCACTGCAACCTCTGCCTGCCAGGTTCAAGTGATTCTCCTGCCTCAGCCCCTTGAGTAGCTGGGATTACAGGCACCCACCACCATGCCCGGCTAATTTTTTTTTTTTTTTGAGATGGAGTCTCTGTTGCCCAGGCTGGAGTGCAACGGCACAATCTCGGCCGGCTGCAACCTCTGCCTCCTAGGTTCAAGTGATTCTCCTGCCTCAGCCTCCTGAGTAGCTGGGATTACAGGTGCGCAAAAGCGCGTCTGGCTAATTTTTGTATTTTTTAAGTAGAGACGAGGTTTCACCAAGGCCAGGCTGGTCTCGAACTCCTGACCTTGTGATCTGCCCACCTCGGCCTCCCAACATGCTGGGATTACAGGCGCGAGCCACCGTGCCTGGCCTATAGTATCGTCTTTAACTCTCTGTCTCCCCCAGTAGACTATGGGCTCCTTATGGCTGGTGACTGTATTTTATTCACTCTTTGTATCCCCAACTTCCAGCACAATGCCAGCCACCAAATTAATGTATGGCAAGTGTTTCTAGAACGAACATTAACCATGTGTTTATTTTCAAAGTCATGGGACTGTCATGAGCACAGACTGTCAGAACTGGAAGAGCGTTGTCTGGAAGGCCCTTCGAGATAATCTAGTCAACCTCCCCTGGCTTTACAAATGAGGACACTGAGGCCCTGACAGCGCAGGTGCATGGCCATACAGTAACTTAGTGGCCACACCAATATGAGGATCCATGTGGTCTGAATCTCAATCCAGGGCCCTTTCCTGTGGCTAAACGTAAAGCCAAAAGCTTCTAAACACATATATGTATGTAGAACCCACGTCCTTCGTTTGCTCCCCCTCTAGGAAGAGCTGCTTGGGGGCTCACAGGTTCATTTGATGATCTGAACAGGAGCAGAAAGCCAAACATACTTCTGTGACTTGACTGAGTGGCCACTCGCTGGGCCCCTTAATGAAAAGTGCACTTTGCTAATGGCTCTCACTGCCCCCAAAGACGTTAGAGTCAAGCATGACTGTCACAGGACTCCACCAGTGAGACGGGTCTCTGTTGTGGTCGACATCGCACTTGGGTCTCTGAGAGTCTGGTAGCCCATTTCCCATTGCAGGAGAAATAACTTGTAGTCAAACAGTGCCCAGACCAGGGCCCTCTTTAGGAAGGAAGTGGACTTCATGCTAAGCATGGAAGGAGGGGCAGATTGCTGTCAACAGAGGCAGGAGAGAGCGGTCCAGAGGAAGAAAATGGCCCATGCAGAAGGTAGTTAGTGTTGAACATCCAACAACTGGGCAAAAGGAGGGAATGCAAAAGCACTGAGCCCCTACCGCATGTCAGACACTGTGCTGAGTCAGATCCGTCCAAACATTTCATGCTCCTAAGAGTGTTGTCAGGTCTGTGCTAGTCTCTTCATTTTTCCGGGGGAAAGGACCACAGCTTGGAGGAGTTAAGAAATTTGCCCAAGATCTCCAAAGCCTGTGTTCTTTGTGTTTGGGTCAGGCCAGGGCCTGACTCCTGATGGCCCTGAATGGCAGGAGGAGGCGTCTCATAAGCTGTGGTGAGTCACTGGAGGTGCTAGAGCAGGGACATGCCACGATCAGAGCCAAGGCTCAGGTACACAAGATTGGCCAAGAAGGAATCCAGACCCCCGCCCTCCAGCCCTGACTCACCGAGGGTCCCGGAGCACGCTGCTGCCCTTCTCTGCCTATTGGGGAGCTGAGCAAATCCTCATTCATTTCTAAGATCACAAGAAAGCTGCAGGTATTTCCTGCAGCTGCCATAACAGATTACCATAAATGAGGTGGCTGAAAACAACAACAATGTATCCTCACAATTTTGGAGGTTGGGAGAAGGCAGCATCCTTCCTTGCATCTTACTGCCTTCTGATGGCTGCCTGTCATCCTTGGCGTTCCTTGTTTTTTAGACATATTGCTCCAGTCTCTGCCTCTGGCCTCTCCTTCTTTGTCTTCTGCATATGCAGCCAAATGTTTCTCTTTCTAAAACAGTAGTTACTGGATTAGGGCCCGTCTAATCCAGTATGAGTTCATCTTCACTTGATTACATCTGCAAACACCCTTTTCCAAACCTGGTACAGTGAGTGGCTCATGCCTGTAATCCCAATATTCAGGAGGCCCAGGCAGAAGGGTCATTTGAGCCCAGGAGGTTGAGACCAAGCCTGCACAACATAGTGAAACCTCATCTCAAAAAAAAAGACCTTTTTCCAAATAAAAGCACATCCACAAGTACTAGGGGTTAGGTCTCGCTCTGTTGCCCAGGCTGGAGTGCAGTGGCACTATCATAGCTCACCACAACCTCGACCTCCTGGGCTCAAGTAATCCTCCCACCTCAGCCTCCCAAAATGCTGGGATTACATACAGGCATGAGCCACCAGGCCTGATCATGTCTTTGTAAGGGACACCATTAACTCAAAACAGAAGCCATGTTTCCAACAAAGCGCGCTGAAAATAAATAAATAAATAAATATAAAAGACAAAAGATCAAAACAGAGCCCATGACAGGAAATTGCAGGAGTGAGAGAGAACCAACAGACAAGTCAGAGGTCTACGAACTCTGGAGGTCACCCTGTGACCAAAGCTCCCAGAAGTGTTCTCACCATGCCCCTTGCCTTGGAGCCTCTCCTTTCATGGGCTGCTTGCTTGGAACCTTGGACGAGGTTCGCACTTGGGTCTCTGAGAGTCTGGTAGCCCATTTCCCATTGCAGGAGAAATAACGTGTAGTCAAACAGTGCCCAGGCCAGGGCCCTCTTTAGGAAGGAAGCGGACTTCATGCTAAGCATGGAAGGATGGGCAGATTGCCGTAGACAGAGGCAGGAGAGAGCGGTCCAGAGGAAGAAAATGGTCCATGCAGAAGGTAGTTGTTCTGATGGACAACCTGCCATCAGGAGTCAGGCCCTCGCCTGACCCAAACACAAAGAACATAGGCTTTGGAGATCCAGGCAGAAATGCAAGGGCACTAGAAGGAAGCCAAGAGTGATGAAATCATGAGCCTTACAAACGAGCCTTCTCCTCAGTGCCACCAAAGGCAGGGACCAGTCAAGATGGGTTTGTCCCCTCTGAAGATGGAAGGAGGGGACATGTTACCCCTACATGATTAACTTTAAAGCAGAAACCATGGATCTTTCATTCAAACTGATTCTTTTTAACATTTCCATTTGTGTTAGTAGTATCTGTGACTAATGATGGCTGAATTTGCTAAATGTTGGTTCTCGGTACCCTCAACTATCTCATGACAATGAGGGCAAGATGTACTCTTTTTCTCATGTGACATGCTGAAGGCACCACCCTGCTTTTGCCAACCTAGGCACCATTTCTGAGACCATCACTGTTCCCTTGCGATTTCAAATACTGGGATGAGGCAAGGGATAGCATAAAAAGGAAGAGAACCTACCAGGGTCAGGAATCTGTTAAGTACCTTAGCAGTTCTTTATTCCAACACCCACTTTGAGGCTTGAACCTGACTTAGAACATCTGACACCTGATTATCTGGTTTTTGCTTGAATGCCTCTGGTGGCAGGGAGCTCACTACCTTACTAAGCTGTCCAATATGTCTTTGAGCCCCTCTGATTGTAAGAAGTTTCCAACAAATTGAACCTCAAATTATAACCCTGTGATTTCTACCCATTTGTTCTGGTTGTTCTTGCCTTGTGTCTTCTCAGAACAGTCTTCTCTCCTTTCCCTATGACAGTCCTCCACATCAATGGAAATGGTTCCCACATACCCCTGGAGCCTCCCTCCTTAGGCTAGTCTCATTTCCATCACCTTTTCCTCATACGACATAGTTGTGCGTTCCAGCACCATCCAGGTTTACATGCATATATATATTAGGATATTTACTATGGTTTACATGCATATATGTATTAGGATATTTACTATGGGGAATTAAGGAGATGGATCACTTTCAGAGACAAAACATAAAATCCTGGTGGTCAGAAGCCCTCTTAATGGAGTAAGGTCTACCTGGTGGTGTAGTTCATGGCTCCCTGACTTGAGCTCTTTAACCCTGGCTGAGTCTCTCTATTAGGCTGATCACCACTAAAGTGTAAGCTCTTCAGGGCAGGGAGTTCGTCCAGTGCTGAATCCTCAGAGTCCTGTGATGAATGAACCAATGAATGAATGAATGAATGAATGAATGAATGAATGAGTGAATGAATGAATGGATGAGTGAGTGAATGAATGAATGAGTGAATGAATGAATGGGAGAAACCTAGGACTTTCCATGTACAGATTTTAGAGTTGGTGATTATTAATTCTACTTCTAGCCTCCTTTATTTTACTTTATTTGCTTAACTTAACCCTATTGAGACTCAACTTCTACAGCTAAAAGTGCAGTAAAATAACAATACCCTTTTTCACTTGACTGTCAAGAGGGAAAAAGTAATTGCAAAGGCATCTCTGAATAAAAGACACTAGATATTCCATACATAACACGAGTTGAGAAAAAGTTCGTGGGTTCAAATACATAGGATCTTGTGGCCTGTGTCACCAAAGCAAGAGGTCTTTTACACATTTCCTTGCACAGGCAAGAAATCAATGTTTGATTGCAGGGACTCAAATTAATCATTATAATAGCCACCAATAAATGTCTGCTGACAGTAGGGTGACTATGGTTGACAATATTGTGTTGTATATTTCAAAATAACTAGAAGAGAGGATTTTGAATGTTCTTACCAGAAAGAAATGATAACTGAGGTGATGGATATGCTGAATACTCGGATTTGATTATTACACAATGTATACATGTATCAAAACCACCTCATACATACATACAATTATTATATGTCAATTTAAAAGATTTTTTAAAATCTGCTGAATTATGAAACTCGTGAGAATCCACCCATTTTCAATAGGGATAAACTGAGAATGGCAGTTAATCATAGGGAGTTTCCCTACTGATTCAATTACGCTCTACAGAGGCTGCCAGTGTCTATTTTCACAACTCTCAGTCTTATGCAAACTGTTTTAATGTCCTTGTAGAAGGAGGTGGTGTATCGTATGGGAAAGAAGGAGAGACCAGACTGCAAGCTCGCCTTGGAACAACTTTTCTGCCACCAACTCATTTTTGGCCAAAGTATGACAGGAAAAACAACAGAAACCAACCCACTCTTTCCTCTCCTTCCTCAGACAGATGTGGAGCCCAGAGGCACAACAGTGTGGACTTGGAAAGCTGAAAGCAACTCCAAAGTTTGTTGCTGGGTGTGGGTTTCAGAGCTTGTAACTACATTTGTTGAGACGCGGTAGAAATCAAGCATTATGCAACCCCATGAATAGGGAACACTCCCTGTGTCACTATTTAGAAGCTGGGTGCCAGGCTTCCAATCCCCAAATCAATGCAGCCTCCTCCAGGAGCCAGCTTTTCAGAGAATCCTGGCTTTAACGGAAGCGTTCAGCTACGTGGGGAATCGGGAGGATCTGGCCCATCTTCCAGTCACAAGCCTGGTGGGCGACAGTTTCCGCTGGCGTGAGAAAGCAGTGACAGGGGTTCGGCTAGGTATTGCTGTTCCTGAAGTGTGTGGGTGAAATGGTTTCTGCAGTTGGAGGGCAGGGACCTGGACTGATTCATCTTTGCAACCCCCTCACTTGGGCAGCAGCCAGCACCTTGCTCCACCCTCCGTCACCACCATCATCACTCCCCCACGATCTTACCTCCTTCCTTTTAATCTGGGTCCCATGATCTTGTCTCATCAACACCTTCAATTCCTTTCCTCCTTGTCCTTCTCACTGAACAGTTATCCAGCTGGGCTTTCACCGTCATTGCTTAGTTTTTGGGGAAAGAAAACGTGTTCAGCTGTGCCAGATGATACCCCCACAAATTACTAGGCAATCACCTTGCAGCATTATCTCATTTGTTACCTCTTCAGGGCAGGAATTGTTATTAGCCTCATTAACCAGATGAGAAGACTGAGACTCAGTTGTCTGTCATCGGTAGATTTTCGTAACGTCTTGGGAGAAATATTAGGATTATCTATCCTTTTCTTGTCAGCTAGGAGTAGTTGCTGCTAATTAAATCTTTATGACCTTTTGACTCCTCACCACTCCTGATTATCACTTTGGTTTATTTGGTTAAGTTTTTTTTTTTTTTTTTGGAGACGAAGTTTCGCTCTTGTTGCCCAGGCTGGAGTGCAGTGGTGCGATGTGGGTTCACTGCAACCTCTGTCTCCCGGGTTCAAACAATTCTCCTGCCTCACCCTCCCGAGTAGCTGGGATTACAGGTGCATGCCACCACACCGGGCTAATTTTTCTATTTTTAGCAGAGACGGGGTTTCATCATGTTGGCCAGGCTTGTCTCCAAACTCCTGACCTCAGGTGACCCACCCGCCTCAGCCTCTCAAAGTGCTGGGATTTCAGGCGTGAGCCACCACGCCTGGTCTTATTTGGTCAAGATTTTTTAAGCCCTTAGAAAAGTAACAGTGGAAAACCAAAGTGTTTATTTTCTCCAGAGGTGACAAAATCTGGAAAAAGAAACTAGATGAAGTCCCAAGTTCCTGGTTGAGCTCTAGGAATGAGATGGTGAGTTTCTTTATCTCACCTCCTAGTATTATTATTAAAATGTGAAATCTTACTTCATGAGTTAGTTTGACCTTTAACCACTTAGCTCTGGAGAGAATGCCGGGAGCTGTCTGCTAATTCTATTTCGTGGGTCTTCTTCATATCTTACTTCTGGAGATTATGTGTAGGATTTTAAAGATACACTGTTTCTAAATTGAGAAATGGGAGAAATGATGTTCTGATGCATTCCTTTGCTCATCTGTGAGCACTGCCTTCTCAAAGCGTTGCCAACTGCTTCACAGCTTGCCAGCAGTCCCTTGGGCATTTCCCAAAACTCACTTCAATTCAGTAAGAGGGGTAAGGTGCAGCACACAGAAACCCTGGCAGGGAATTCAGAATGGGTGGGAGTCTGGACCCAGTTTCGCCTGATGCTAACTTGCTATGACTGACCTTTAGCCAGTCCACTTCTGTGTCTTCATTTGCACCAGGAAAGAGTGGACTACGCTTGCTACTCAAAGTGTGACCCAAGGACCAGTACTATGGGTATCACCTGGAAGCTTGTTAGAGCCACAGGCCTCACCCCAGAGCTTATGAATCAGAATCTGCATGTTAACAAGATTCCCAGGGGATTTATATGCACATTAAAGTGTGAAAAGCCCTAGGTTAAACAGATTCTTGATCCTATTTATTTCTTTTTGGCTGTTGTTTTAATTGACAACTAAAAATTGTTTATTACTTACGTTGTACCGCATAATGTTTTGATATATGTGTACATTGTGGAATGGCTAAATCAAGCTATGCTAGGTAATATATGCATTACCTCGATCCTATGATTTAAAAATACATGTTTGGCCAGGCGCAGTGGCTCATACCTGTAATCCTAGCACTTTGGGAGGCCGAGGCGGGCGATCACCTGAGGTCAGGAGTTCGAGACCAGCCTGGCCAAAATAGTCAAACCCTGTCTCTACTAAAAATACAAAAATTAGCTGGGTGCGGTGGCACGTGTCTGTAATTCCCGCTACTCGGGAGGCTAAGGCAGGAGAATCACTTGAACCCGGGAAGCAGAGGTTGCAGTGAGCCGAGATCATGCCTTTGCACTCCACCTGGGGGACAGCGAGACTCTGTCTCAAAAGATAAAAATAAATAAATAATACATGTTAACAACCCTCATTCCCCACTCTCCCCAGGGGTGTACAGGCTAGTGACAAGACTTGGGTTTATTCCTGACACTGCACGCACTCAATCTACGACTTGCTCAAGCTGCTTCCTCTCTCCAAGCATCAAAACAAAGAGATGGTTCTCTGGATCAATGAGAATGTAGTTCACCAGCCACTCTAAGCTGACTTTCTATTATTCCCATTATAGGGAAATCAAACATTCAAGTGAGGAACAAAAGCCCAGGCCTCTAGGAGTGGAGCTGGCTCACTGTTTTCACTTTCATTTTAATTATTTTTAAAAAGGGTAATGAAAATATAATTAGAACTGTTTAAACATTTTTTTTTTCTTTGAAATAAAGCGTAAGTCACTTCCTGTTGGCTTTTCCTACAACCTTGCCAAGCTCTGGAAATACTATTCAGCCTCTCATTCCAAATTCACATCCAGGCGAAGACTTTTCTCCCCAGTTCGCAGCTGGGGTCGGCTAGATAAACAAAAAGTTAGTTGCTGTGCTGGACCTCGGAGAGACCACACCTCGGGACGCCAGCAGAAAACCAGCGCTGGGAAACGCCCCCGTCCCAGCGCCACCGAAACACTCTTCCTCCGAGTCTCCGCGTCCTCCTGACGGAAGCAGCGGAAGGCGGAGCTAGTGCCGCGAATAGGAACCGCCATGTTTCCGACGTGCTCTAGTTTCTCGCCGGACGCTAAAGACCGACGCACAAATTAAGAATGGACCATTCTTTTAACTCAGTCATTTATCCAAACTCGAGACATTCGCCAGGAAATCTATCGAAAATTTCCCAGAACCATTTTTTCACTTATATTCTATAATACTGGTAAAATCGAGACGTAAAAGGAGAACTTGAGAACAAGTCATTCTGCTTTCCCCTCTCAAGTTTGAGCCTGAACTACTTGGGCTCGCTTATCGTCACTTCCGGGGATCGAACTGTGAATCCCGGAAACTGCACGCGCCGAGCCGGGAAGCTTCGTCCAGCGGTCGTGTTGCCATGGGCCGGAGGAGAGCCCCGGCCGGTGGGTCGCTGGGACGGGCCCTTATGCGCCATCAGACTCAGCGGAGCCGAAGCCATCGTCACACTGACTCCTGGGTAAGACAGACCATGTCATCTTTCTTATCTTTTCTGTCTAGCCTGAGTGCTGCAAAATTCGGGGTCAAAAGTCAGATAAGTTTTGCAGGAGGGACGCCTCAGCCGGGTTTTGAAGGATGAGTTGGAGTTTCTGCCAAGCTGAGTAGCAGGCCCTCCTCCTGGCAAGGCCCAGAACACAAAGGTAGGAGAAGCTTGAAAGAAGAGTTAGTGTGGTGATGAGGCGTGGAGTGAGAATCTGAAGAGTCTTCAATGCCAGGTCTTGAGTACGTTTGGGTTTTGCCCTAGAAGCCACTGAAGTGCTTGGAACTTCCAGAGCAGGAAAAAGACAAAACGTATTTTTGTATTGATTTGTTCAAAGAATGGATCCTCCAGAAGCGGTTGGTTACTGCCAGAAATATAAAATAATTCAGATCCTTGCCTCATCCTTGCGAAGCACCCCCTAGTGGTTTAGCTCAAAGATAAATCATTGATTTTTCAGGTGTGACAAGACCTAATATTTTACTAGGTTATAGAAGGATCTTTAAAAAAATGAATGAAGTGATTTGGCTTGTGTTCATCATTCTAGTCGTTATTTTCACCATTCATTCCCCCGGGAATGAATGAGAACATGTTGAGTGCTAAGATCGTGTGCTAAATTTAGTTAAATATGTCCCTGGAGCTAAGTAAGCGTGTGCCACTGTCACACCAGCTGACTTTCATCCATATAGTCTGCAGAGTAAACAGCATGGAGTGCTTATCAGTATTCATCAGGTCAGAGTTACTCTGGACATTAGATTACTGGTAATTTTTATTAGCTTTGAAGCAACTTGTTACTAATGAAGCCTTTTAGGAAACTGTGGGAAGATTGAACATGAATGGTAAAGAATTGGATCCTAATTCCTTATTTTTGCTGATTCTATGCCCACTTAAACTTTTGGCCCTTAATATTTATTTAGGAAATTCATTCATCATTCAGTTATTCATTTTTAGAGACAGGGTCACACTCTGTCACCCAGGCTAGAGTGCCAGTGGTGTGATCATAACTCACCAATTCACTACAGTCTCAAACTTCTGGGCACAAATAATCCCCCTGCCTCAGTCTCTTGAGTAGCTGGCATTACAGGTGCACACCATCAGGCCTGGTTGTTTGGTTTTGTTTGTTTGTTTTGGAGAGACAGGGTCTTGCTGTGTTGCCCAAGCTGATCACAAACTCCTGGCCTCAAGCAATCCTCCTGCCTTAGCCTCTTGAGGAGCTGGGGTTACAGGCACAAACCACCACGCCTGGCAATTTTTTTTTATTTGTATCTATACTAAGTATATAGCTTAGGGTGATGGTTATCAAACTCTGGGTTGTGTCTGGAAGTCAATTTAGTGGTCTGCAGCTAGCTGTTTTGTTTTGTTTTTATTTTTTCCCCAGCAAGATAGAGAAATATCAGAATGTTGCATGTAATAGGGTGTGGTTTCAGTATTCTTCTATTGCCATTTTACTGTACTGAACGGTACTTGAATGCTTGTATCATTATATGTACATACACCTTTGGGTCACTATGTAAAATGTATTTCTTATTGTGGGATTATATCAAATAAAGTTTTGACTAATTTTGACTAGCACAGTCAGACAATCTGGGTTCAAGTTCTACCTGTGCCATTTAGATTTTGACTATAGGCAAGTTATTTTATCTGCTGAAGCCTTAGTTTCATCATCAGTAAAATGGAAATACAGTAAAATTCACCTCAAAAGATTTTGAAAATTAATGAAATGGTGAAAGGGAACTGCCTATTGTGAGGTAAGAACGTGTTCCTTTAAACATTAACTATAAGTAGTATTGATTCTAAAGGGACTACAACCACCCTCAAGACCATAGACTAGTTGCAAGGAATTTTAGAGCTTATTGGATGCCAAGAGCAGAAGAGAGCAGCTGTATTTATCACCCTGTGTTTTTTCATAGTTGCACACAAGTGAACTCAATGATGGCTATGATTGGGGTCGTCTTAATCTTCAGTCAGTGACTGAACAGAGCTCCCTTGATGACTTCCTTGCTACTGCAGAACTTGCAGGAACAGAGTTTGTAGCTGGTAAGTTGTTTATTGCTGAGTGCAGGTGAGACTGTCACATTTCCATCTGGGGCTGAGGTTTTTTTTGTTTTTTGTTTTGAGATGGAGTCTCGCTCTGTCACCCAGGCTGAAGTGCAGTGGCGTGATATCAGCTCACTGCAGCTCCGCCTCCTGGGTTCAAGCAATTCACCTGCCTCAGCCTCCCAAGTAGCTAGGACTACAGGCACGCACTGCCACGCCTGGCTAATTTTTGTATTTCTAGTAGAGATGGGGTTTCACCATGTTGGCCAGGATGTTCTTGATCTCCTGACCTCGTGATTCGCCTTCCTTGGCCTCCCAAAGTGCTGGGATTACAGGTGTGAGCCACCGTGCCCGCCCTGAGTCTTGAACAATGAGTAGATGTTCAAAGGACAGATGAGATAAGACCTTTTACACAGACAGGCAGAGGACTCGAGCCCAGATGTGAAGCAGCAGCCAACTTTGTTCAGAAAATGGCTAGAAGTTTGGCTTTGCTGGTGCAGGGGGCGGGATGTGATGAGCACAGGTGCTGAGGAGGTGGGCAAGGGCCAGATTCTGGAGAGAACAAAGGTTTAAGGCTTTACAGGGCTTTAAGCACGTGTACAACATGATTTCAGATTTCATTGTTTAGTGTTTTTTGGGGGGATGTGTGGGTTCCAGCTTTAATGAGCTACACAATTGGCAACTAAAAATTGTATATAGTTATAGTATATAGTGTGACGTTTGGTTATATGTATATATTGTGAAATGATTACTAAAATCAAGTAATTAACGTATCCATCACCTCACATTGTTTTTTTGTGTGTGCGGTGAGAACAAGATATATACTGTCTTAGCAAATTTCATATTATTAACTAATAAATGTGTTATTATTAACTATGGACACCAGGCTGTACATTAGACCTCCAGAACTTATTCATCCTGCCTCAGTAAAACTTTACCGTTTGACCAGTATCCTCCTATTTGCCCCACTCCCTAATCTCTGGTAACCACCATTTTCTCTCTGCTTCTATGAGCTCGGCTTTATTCCACGTATAAGTGAGATCATGTGGTATTTGTCTTTCTGTGCCTGGGTTATTTCTCATAGCAGAGTGGTTCATTCATATTGTCACAAGTGTCAACATTTCCCTCTTTTGTAATGCTGAATAGTATTCCATTGTATACTACATATACCACGTTTTCTTTATCCATTCATACGTTGATGGGCATTGAGGTTGGTTCCATATCTTGGCTCTTGTGAATAGCGCTGCAGGGAACATGGGAGTGCAGGTATGTCTCATGGGTACATGAGATTTCATTTTTTAAAAGATCACTGATGAATTTTAAGGAAGCAAGATGAGTTAGGAGACTGTATCACTTTAGTCTAGCAAAATAGGCCAGAACTGAAATACAGGTAGTAGAAGAAGGGAGAAAATAAGAGGAACAAGAACACTTAAGGAGCTAGAGTAAACCAGACTTGATGGAGAGGGTAGTGTAAGTGAAAAAGAGTGAAGGGACAAAAATAAACTCCTGGGTTTCACAGTGAAATAACCACTTCACCCACTAGGATAGCTAAAATAAAAGAGACTATAACAAATGTTGGTGAGGATGTAGAGAAATTATAACACCATACATCGCTGTGGGAGTATAAAATGGTGTAGCTGTTTTATAAAAAAATTTTGGCAGTTCCTCAAAAGGTAAAACATGGAATTACCATCTGATCCAGCAGTCCCACTCCTGGGTATATGCCCGAAAGAAATGAAAACATGTCTACACAAAAATATGTGCATGTGTATTCATAGCAGCATTATTCGTAATCACCAAAAAGTGGAAACACCAAAAAGTCCTAAAGAGGCAAATCTACAGAAAGTAGATGATTTCCACCAGGTACCTGGGGGTGTACAGTGACTGCTAATGGGTAAAGCTTTCTTTTTGGAGTGATGAAAATATTCTAAAATGGATTGTGGCAATGGCTGCACAACTCTGTGAATATACTGAAAATTATTGAATTGTATGCTTTAGTGGGTGGATTGTATAGTATGTGAATCATATTGTAGTAAAGCTATATATATATATATATATATATATATTTTTTTTTTTTTTTTTTTTGAGACGGAGTCTCTCTCTTGTCGCCCAGGCTGGAGTGCAGTGGTGCGATCTCAGCTCACTGCAACCTCTGCCTCCCAGGTTCAAGCGGTTCTCCTGCCTCAGCCTCCTGAGTAGCTGGGATTACAGGCATGCACCACCACCCCTGGCTAATTTTTGTATTTTTACTAGAGACGGGGGTTTCACCTTGTAGGCCAGGCTGGTCTCGAACTCGTGACCTTGTGATCCGCCCACCTTGCCCTCCCAAAGTGCTGGGATTACAGACGTGAGCCACCGCACCTGGCTGCTATTTTCTTCTTAAAGTCATTAGTAATATCTGCCAGAACAGTTTTAGTGGAGTGAGAGAGCCACAGCTGGAATCTAGAGAAACAGGAAGTGGGAGGTGAGGAAATCAAGGAATGAGCAAGTTGTATTCTCCTGAGATAGCTGACTATGGCAGGGAAAGAGAAGTGTAAGGGTGTGTATGAGAAGGATCAGGGTTAATGGTAGTATGTTCTTAGGTTATGGGGTGAGACAGTAGAGAGGGAAGTTGGAAAGATTTGTTTTGGCAGTATCTGTTCGAAGTTTACAGTTGCAGGCTGGGTGCGGTGGCTCATGCCTGTAACCCCAGCACTTTGGGAGGCCGAGGCGGGCGGATCACCTGAGGTCAGTAGTTCGAGACCAGCCTGGCCAACATGGCAAAACCCCGTCTCTACTAAAAATACAAAAATTAGCCGGGCGTGGTGGTGCGGGCCTGTAGTCCCAGCTACTCAGGAGGCTGAGTTGGGAGAATTGTTTGAGGTTGCAGTGAACCGAGACTGTGCCACTTCACTCCAGCCTGGGTGACAGAGTGAGACTCTGTCTCAAAAAAAAAACAGAAGACAAAGAAAGCAAGTTTACAGTTTCATATCCTATGAGCCAGCACCTCTACTTCTCAGCATCTACCCCAGAGCAGCAGAATTGCCCGGAGAACTCTTTCATACAGATTCCTGGCCCTATCCTCTAGACTCCAGAGCATCTATTCAGTGAGTGGGGGTTAGAGCTGCAGCATTTACATTTTTAACAAGCTACCAGATGATGCTGTATTTTAATAATGAAAACTTGGAAACTGAATGTTCAATAGCAGGGAAAATGTGATATAGACACAGTATGAAATACTGTGTGGCAGTCAAAAAGAATGTAGTAACTCTGGATAGTTATTTGGTATAAAACTTCATTTGGGAATAATAATTTACCCAAGGCTAGAAGAATCTAAATCAAGAAATCTTAAGTTCTCTTAGGCTCTCATTTTTAGTTTTCTCAGTTTATCAGTATGACCAAACACTCTGTATCTATACTGCCTCTTAAGTAATAGTACTTTTCTTTATTTGAACAGAGAAACTTAATATTAAGTTTGTGCCTGCTGAGGCTAGAACTGGACTACTGTCTTTCGAGGAGAGCCAGAGAATTAAGAAGCTCCATGAAGAAAACAAACAGTTCTTGTGTATACCGAGGAGGTGAGCTGAAGAAGAATTTAGAATGCCACAAAACATCCGAGGCTGCTGAGTATTCATTTTTTAAATTGCTTCTTTTTCTCAGCTGCCATTATTAGATCCAAATTACCTATTTTATTTTGGTTACTTATATGAGGAATTTTTTTCCTTCTATGATTGTTTCAGACCAAACTGGAACCAAAATACTACCCCAGAAGAACTCAAACAAGCAGAGAAAGATAACTTTCTAGAATGGAGACGTCAGCTTGTCCGGTGAGTATTATAGACTCTATGAAGACTTACTTTGAAATCCTGAGTTCAGATATTTGGCATGCTTACACAGCCATTTGTGTTTTGAAGTTTTGATTCTTTTAAGAAGGAAATGGTAGCATTCTGCTAACAAGTGCAAATAGATGTATGCACAAACAAGATTGCTAGGTGCAAATGCATCCTTGCACAGAGATCGTGAGTTGGTTACTCTGCTCAGTTCCGGGCCTTTTCCTTTCATTCCCTTCTTTGGCCATTGGGCATCCTGGAGTTGATCGCTGCTCTCCTGCACATTTTTCCAGTAAGAGTGTGGGAAAGAAATGACTTTGTGTGATAGGTAAACTTCCAGGGCATAAATAGCTTCAGGATAAAATTTGAATTTGGTGGAGTATTGTCTAAATAAATAGTATTTTTATGGTGTCTCAGCAGGAAATATATAAAATAATTTGACTCTGGATATTTGTGCCCAGTACTTATTTTTAATGTAATAAATTTGAGCATTTACACTGCTAAAAATTGTCTATTATAATCTGGCAAATATATAAACTTCTCATTCAAAAACTAGGCTAGAAGAGGAACAGAAGCTGATATTGACTCCATTTGAACGAAATTTGGACTTTTGGCGCCAGCTCTGGAGAGTCATTGAGAGAAGGTGAATTATCATTTTCTTTTGTGTAATAAAGACATTGTAGTGAAGTTATATTCGATTTGGCTGTTGATATAGGCTTATAGGCTCAGGGTATGGGAATTAAGCTATGCAGAGGGTTACTGAGAATTATAAAAACACAGCATGATACTACCGTATATTTTGTATAGTTTTTTTGTTGTTAGATGAATATGTTGATAAGTGTGTGAGAATAATGAACATTTTCTGCAAGGTGAATTCTGAAGCACCTATATAGATATTTTAGCAAATGTATATTTGGTTTCTACTGGTAATGTGGAAAATATGGATACGAAAAAGAGTTAAGTTCCTGCCTGCAAAGAGCATCTATGTTATGGGGAGAGGCGAATGTCAGAGCTCCTGTCAGCCGAGTTACACCATGTTCAGCTAAATGCTAAGCAAAGCACCAGGCACCAGGGACACACAGATGAATGACATGCAATTCTTGCACTCAGAAAACTTAATACGTAGTGAAATACAGAGGGCAGTATGATTCCTGCTTTGCTGCAGATAGAAAGGCAGTGGGCTGAGTCATAGCAGAGGAAGGAGTGGTTGATAAGTATTGAGGAAATCACGGGGTGGTTTTTATGTTTTTTATTTATTTATTTATTTATTTATTTATTTGAGACGGAGTTTTGCTCTTATTGCCCAGGCTGGAGTGCAATGGCACGATCTCAGCTCACCACAACCTCCGCCTCCTGGGTTCAAGCAGTGCTCCCGCCTCAGCCTCCCAAGTGGCTGAGATTACAGGCGCACACCACCACGCCCAGCTAATTTTTTTTTTTGTATTTTTAGTAGAGACAGGGTTTCACCATGTTGGTCAGGCTGGTCTCGAACTCCTGACCTCGTGATCCACCCGCCTCAGCCTCCCAAAGTGCTAGGATTACAGGCATGAGCCACCATGCCCGGCCTGGTTTTTATTTTTTTTAACTGGGCTCTGAAAAGAAGAGAATGATTTTGACAAATTGAGAATGGGAGATCTTTATTCTTTTTCATGTAATGCTAAGGAGAATTCCTGATTGTTAGAAGTTGATGAACACCTGTCTCTAATCTCACCTCTTTGGTATAGTTAAAAGGTTTCTGTTTTCCTCAAAGAGTTTCTGAATTACTTTCAAGGATGCCATAAATGAACCTTATATTTGAAATGTTTTCAACAAGGACCCTTCAGGCTGGTTTTTTTTCCTTTGAAATCTATAAAGTGAACCTAGTAAGAACACTAGGAAACAGAATGCTTTAATTGGGATTCTCAGAAAAGAATCTTATCACATTTAGCATTGTTATTAAGAAAACAGGGCCCAGCGCGGTGGCTCACACCTGTGATCCCAGCACTTTAGGAGGTCCAGGCAGGTGGATCACTTGAAGTCAGCAGTTCGATACCAGCCTGAGGAACGTGGTGAAACCCTGTCCCTACTAAAAATACAAAAATAGCCAGGCTTGGCTACTACTTGGGAAGCTGAGGCAGGAGAATCACTTGAATCCAGGAGGTGGAGGTTGCAGTGAGCCGAGATCGCACCACTGCACTCCAGCCTGGGTGACAGAGCAAGACTCTGTCTCCAAAAAAAAGAAAACAGTACTTGGACTAAACTTGTAAAAGTCACTTACATTTCCTATTAGGGTGATGACAAAGTCACTTGAATGCCCCCATCCTCAGCTCTCTACGGGTACAGAAAGGGCTCTTGGGCTGGGATGCGGGGAGGTCAGAGAAGCAAGGCAAATCTCTAAGGCAGAAGAAGGGAAAGGCTTTCTCTGAGGCAGAAGAAGGGAAAGGCTTTCTCTGAGGCGGAAGAAGGGAAAGGCTTTCTCTGAGGCGGAAGAAGGGAAAGGCTTTCTCTGAGGCGGAAGAAGGGAAAGGCTTTCTCTGAGGCGGAAGAAGGGAAAGGCTTTCTCTGAGGCGGAAGAAGGGAAAGGCTTTCTCTGAGGCGGAAGAAGGGAAAGGCTTTCTCTGAGGCGGAAGAAGGGAAAGGCTTTCTCTGAGGCGGAAGAAGGGAAAGGCTTTCTCTGAGGCGGAAGAAGGGAAAGGCTTTCTCTGAGGCGGAAGAAGGGAAAGGCTTTCTCTGAGGCGGAAGAAGGGAAAGGCTTTCTCTGAGGCGGAAGAAGGGAAAGGCTTTCTCTGAGGCGGAAGAAGGGAAAGGCTTTCTCTGAGGCGGAAGAAGGGAAAGGCTTTCTCTGAGGCGGAAGAAGGGAAAGGGTTTCTGCTGATTTGGGGTCCATGCAGGCTCCTTTTACTCAAGCTTGAGGAGGGCTTCGGAAGGCCCACAGTCATTCTCCTGGGGAACTGGGGAACTGCTGTGGAGCAGAGTAGCCTCTTCGTTGGTGCCTCCTTGGTAGTTGATGCTGTGTACTCCTGAGAATGCCCGTTTTCTAATTTCCGAAGAGAAATGGTAACAAGTGCAGAAGTACTGCAGCCCGGACCTTGAGGACAGCACCCTCCATCTTCACACTTAATTACAGTTTTTGTTTTGTTTTCAGATTTTGTCCTACTTCCTATATTATCTGTCTTTCCTCTTTGTTCCTTTTCTTTTTCTCCTGGTTTCTGACTTTTACGGAAGAGGCCTTCCTCAGGTGTCTAGTGGTGTTTATCTGTCTTTAAGAACAAAGCATTACAAAGCCGGTTGACAAGCCTGCCTGTTTAGGTGGAATTTGCCAACTGGTGAGCTTCACTGTAGGGTGCCTGGGCAGGGGTCAGTTTTATTTTGTTGGAATACCCCAAGATGTTAAGATCTGTAGGTCTTTTCCCCAGAGCCAGTCAGTTTTGTGTGTGTGTGGTTTTGTTTTGTTTTTTGAGACGGACTTTCGCTCTTGTTACCCAGGCTGGAGTGCAGTGGCGTGATCTCGGCTCACTGCAATCTCCACCTCCTGGGTTCAAGCGATTTTCCTGCCTCAGCCTCCCGAGTAGCTGGGATTACAGGCACGCGCCACCACGCCCGGCTAATTTTGTATTTTTAGTAGAGACGGGGTTTCTCCATGTTGGCCAGGCTGGTCTCGAACTCCTGACCTCAGGTGATCCACCCACTTCAGCCTCCCAAAGTGCTGGGGTTACAGGCATGAGCCACTGTGCCCAGTGCCAGTCAGTTTTTAAAAAGAAGAATGATCTCCTGCCAGGAAAGGGGCAGGAGGTGGTATAATACAAGGGTGCTGGGCACCTTCACAGTTCAGTATCTTCATAGGCTTATGCTGAATTCCCCTTTTTGCCCTATGGCAACTCTTTCCCATTTTCCCTGTGCCTGAGGTCCCAGTCCTGGAACTTGTCAAGTTCATTTTCTCCATAATAAACCCTAGCCTTCTGCTATTGGGGTGGGGAATGGGGGCTGTGTGGTGGGTTGCAGTTGCCTCACTGAATGGAACAGGGTAGCCGACCTATGAGCTCACTGTTCAGATGGATTACGGGCGCGGGCCTCGTTCTTGCCCTGGAGAGATAGAGCTGATGTTTCTAATACTGGGCTTTCTTGGGCGTCAGGGGCATGAACAGGTTTGCTTCTTGTTGGTTTGACATTTGGTTGCTGCTGTTCTTTCTCTTTATCCTAATGGGTTTCAGCCTTTGTTTTTGTAGGTTTTGAGAGGGAGCAGAGGTAACCATCTGTGTTCAGTTTAACAGGAAGCCCCTCTTACACTGTTTATGTCCCTAATAATTTCCCAAGTGAGCCTGTACATGTTGAAACTTCTAGCTTCAGCTTGGATTACAGTATTATTTGCTCTCTTATTTTTGTTATGTGATATTTCTCCTTTTTTTAAATAAGAGAACATGTTTTCTAGCTCAAGGAATATAGTTATATGAAAGTGGATCTGAATTACACAGAAATATTTATTTAAAAATGACTGCCGCCACATCTTTGAATGGGAAATATTTATTGATGTCTTCTCCACAGCAGATGTCTCCTGTTTGGTAACAGGCTGGCTAAACCATCTGCCTCTTTAATTCTAATAGTAGTTATCAGAAAAGATTAGATGTATAACATGTCCTTGAAATGCAGGAAACCGCAGAGGCACTGAGGGCGGAACACTGTCTTCCAGTCAGATAAGGCACTTCCATTGTGCTGTGTAGACCCCTCCTGCTACATGGCTGGTGCTTTGCTCTGCATCCTCACTCAGCACATGAAGCAGCTGTCTTGAAATGTCTTTTCTTACTGCTATTTCTAAACTGATGGTTCTTCCTACATGTTCTGTATGTAAACATAATGTTTGTAGACATTGTAGTTTTAGTTGATTAGGCTTTGTCCATTTTTTTGTAATCATTTTTTCATTCACTATTAAATATCCAGTTTGAAAGTGCATTATTACCTTAAAGAAGGAAATACTAGAAGCAGCTGAACTAGAGAACTTAAAAAACAATTTGTCCAAAATTAGCAACTCTGTGAGTTTGTGTCAGAGGATTATGCTGACATTTTAACTATCCTAAAAGAAAATGCACTTTTAATTGTCAAAAGAATGTCCTAAATGGTAACCTTAATTCCTTGGAATTTAGCATATTTGCAAAGTTGCCTCAGAAAAGGCTGGTTAACAGAATAAGGATTTTGGGGAGACTCTGCCGTGAGGTAGTCATGCATCTGTAGCTTATGTCCTCCCAGCGGCAGTCACGGTGGGCCTTTATAACATCTAGCACAGAGGCTGAAGGAAGGGAGGAGCCTCCCATAGAAGGGAATTTTTTTTTCTCCTTGCAGTGCTGGACACCTGTAGTCCCCACTATATTTGTGAGGGATTTGAGGGGCTTGCCACCAGCTGCAGAAAGTTATCTTATTGCTGTACTTTCTTATACGTGATGGAAGAAGTTGGACTTGCCATTCCTGCTTCAGCCGGGCAACCTAAGTTAATACTTTCCTGTTTTCTCTTTTTGCCATTTAAACACATTGTTGGAATTGGTGGATGATTGTTTGCCAAAAATATGCTTTCTTCCTTCTTATTCCTGGGTTTAAATAAGATACTAGCTTCAATAGTGGCAGCTGTCAGCAAGTGATTTACTAGTTTTCTTTTGAGGCCTTAACATGAGGGCAGATTAGGGATTGAATATTTAGTAGACTTTGCCGTGGAGTGAAGTGTTTGGAATACTCTTTTATCTCACCAGGACAGTTTAATAGAAGTACGGTGGATGTCTTAGCAATGAAACATCATCCGAACCCCTCTAGGCTGTATGAGAGCAATAGCATGTTATGATTAAGAGCATCACCTCTGGTCCAGGCTGCCTGGGCTCCCATTCTGGCTGTGTTACTTACTAGCTGGTGGCCTTGGGCAAGTTACTTAACTGCTCTGAGCCTTAAGTCACTCATATATAAACCGGGAATAATTATACCTTAAAAAGTTAATATATGTCCAGTGCTTAATATATTGCCAGGGTTTGCTACTCTGGCCATTATTATGTGGTTAGTAAAATCCCTTTCACTTCACGGTGATTGGTCTATCTCGTGTTTGTTTTTCAGTGATATTGTGGTCCAGATAGTAGATGCTCGAAACCCACTCCTGTTTAGATGTGAGGATTTGGTAAGTCAAGTTTGACAAAATTCAAACATCAGTCCTTTGAGTAGCAGTGCCAGCACCGCATCCCTCAGCAATGACTGTAGGCATACATTCTGCCCTCTCTGGCTTCGTTTAGTGAGGCCTTCCCTCCTTCCAAGGCCAGGAGCTTGCAGAACGCCACTGTTGAGACAGATGTTTTCTCAAACAATGGTGTCCATCTGCAGGAAGGCACAGACACTTAAATGAGCTTTCTAGCTTTTAGTTTAGAAGCCACTTAAGGCATTTGCCGGTTTCCCATTTGTCAGGGAACACCAGTTGAAATAGCATTTTATTTATTTTAGCATATTGCCGGTCACTTCACTTTTTAATTCATCCCATAAGGTTCTGTCTTCTCACACTTTAGTTATGACTCCCTGTGGTATTTTACAAGTGAACTAAGTTTATGAAACACCACAGGGGCTGATAACTAACATGTGAGAGTCCCATGAAATAATGTAATACAGCTTTGGGTTAGTTAACAAAACATTGTATAATATGTGAGGTATTCATATTTCTTTTTGAGAACTGTAATACATATTATTTATTTATTTATTACTATCTTATAGATCTAATTTTTTGTAGAGACAGGATCTTGTCATGTTGCCCAGGCTGGTCTCGAACTCCTGGGCTCAAGCAATCCTCCCTCCTCCGCCTCCCAAAGTGCTGGAATTACAGGCGTGAGCCCCCATGCCTGGCCCAGATTATTTTTAAACCCACTGGTGCATAACAAAAATATTAATGGTGGAACTTCTTTTCAAAGCTTACTGAAAGGATTAGTATAATGTGTCATGATTAAAAATGTTTAAATTAGGAAATGATTTAAAACTAGGGGCAGTAAAAACTTGTATTGGGATCTTTAATATAATTAGCCTCATTTTTTTACTTGTTTGAAGAGGTCTTTCTAAATCTCTTTGTCTTGCTTAGGAATGTTATGTGAAAGAAATGGATGCCAATAAGGAGAACGTCATTCTGATCAACAAGGCAGACTTGCTGACTGCTGAGCAGCGGAGTGCCTGGGCCATGTACTTCGAAAAAGAAGATGTGAAGGTTATTTTCTGGTCAGCTTTGGCCGGAGCCATTCCCCTGAATGGTGACTCTGAGGTAACCTGAGGGACATTTTAGGTTGGCTTTCAAAGAGGGAATTTTGATTTCTTGTTAATGTGCTTCGTTTGTGTTTTGTTTATTCTTATGGAAAATCTGTGGGAATTAGAGTTTTTCCTCTGTGTGCTGGATTAGGATGACCTATAGAAAGTGAATCACAAAGTTACTTTCTCTGTGGTTGTTGGACAGTCTGACCTCTCCAGTGTTGTTACACACTGATATTAGCTGTATTTTTAAATTTTTTTAAAAGGTTGTAGACAGGAAATTGTATAGGAAGTTCCACAATGACCCTGTAACTGCTTTTAAGAGAAGTCAGAACACAAGAGTACAACTGAAGGATGTAGTCAGTTCTCAGGACTTGATTAGAATCTCTTTTGACTTTGTTTTGAAAACAGAGAAACTAAGTAACCCTAAATTAGGATATACCACATATTTTATCTTTTAGCCCAAATTTTGCAAAAGTAGTTTGGGCTTTATTTTTACTTTTGAATAAAATAATATCTATAAGAGGGCCAGGTGCCGTGGCTCACTCCTGTAATCCCAGCACTTTGGGAAGCCGAGAGGGGCAGATCACCTGAGGTCGGGAGTTCGAGACCAGCCCTACCAACATGGAGAAACCCCATCTCTACTGAAAATACAACATTAGCCGGGCATGGTGGCGGGTGCCTGTAATCCCAGCTACTCGGGAGGCTGAGGCAGGAGAATCGGCTGAACCTGGGAGGCGGAGGTTGTAGTGAACCGAGATCATGCCAGTGCACTCCAGCCTGGGCAACAAGAGCGAAACTCTGTCTCAAAATAATAATAATAACAACAGCTATGAAAAGAAATTAGTAATTAGAATCGTAGAGATGGAGAGACTTAGGAAGTACTGTCTTTTTCCCTGTCCTTTTCTCCCGTCTCTGTTTATCAGGCATCTGTTGACCGTGGAGTGTGTGTTGAGCTGGGTTATGAATACAACACCCTCCCCTCCATGAGCTCAGTATATAAGCTCTCACCTCTAACTATGTGAAGGAGTTTCTTCCTCCACTTCCCTGTCAAAGTTGCATATTTCTCTTTGACTATTTTAAGCGACAGGATGCTTGAGACCAGGTAACTCGTTTCTTTTTACCTCTAAATGTAGAAAGTTCTTCCATTCAGTGAAACGAAGTCAGCCACCCTACCCTTTGATCTGAGGACTCTTTGTCCCTTCGGTTCTCTCCTGCAGCTGTGCATTTTCAGCTTTCATATTCCTCATAGACACCAGCTCCGGGACACCCATCCTGGGTGCCTGTCTTCTTGCGTCAGGACCACAGGCAAAACTAGCCACACCTAATTGAATACGTTATTCCAGGTGGTATTTGCCTAGGGCGTATACACAGCATTCATATTTCTTGTGATCAGGATAGTCACATTAATTCAGTTTCTGTTAGTTCATCCCCTTTCAGAAGCTGTTTGCTCTTGGCTCATTAAACCTGTGAGCAACCGAATCCCTCAAATATCAAAAAAAAAAAAAAAAAAACTTACTAAGCAAACCTCATCCCATCTTTATATGGAAAGATATTTGTTCTGTTTTACCTCAACTTAGGAGAGTACTGTTCCTTTTAAATATGTTAATGGTTTAGTACCAAGGTAGAGTTCATTTTAGAGTGTGCAGTTAGCATTTCCTTGCCTTCTAACTGTGAATTTTTGTGTCATTGATAACATCGTTGAACAGGCTAGGTCCAAGGATACAGCTCTGTGATCTTTTGTGGACTTACTAGCAGCACTCTATGCCAAGCGTTTTTTTTTTTTTTTAAGGTTGCCTTTTTTTTCTTTTTAATTTTACTATTATTATACTTTAAGTTTTAGGGTACATGTGCACAATGTGCAGGTTTGTTACGTATATATACATGTGCCATGTTGGTGTGCTGCACCCATTAACTTGTCATTTAGCATTAGGTATATCTCCTAATGTTATCCCTCCCCTCTCCCCCGACCCCACAACAGTCCCCGGCGTGTGATGTTCCTGTTCCTGTATCCATGTGTTCTCATCGTTCAATTCCCACCTATGAGTGAGAATATGCGGTGTTTGGTTTTTTGTCCTTGCAATAGTTTGCTGAGAATGATGGTTTCCAGCTTCATCCACGTCCCTACAAAGGACATGAACTCATCATTTTTTATGGCTGCATAGTATTCCATGGTGTATATGTGCCACATTTTCTTAATCCAGTCTATCATTGTTGGACATTTGGGTTGTTTCCAAGTCTTTGCTATTGTGAATAGTGCTGCAATAAACATACGTGTGCATGTGTCTTTATAGCAGCATGATTTATAATCCTTTGGGTATATACCCAGTAATGGGATGGCTGGGTCAAATGGTATTTCTAGTTCTAGATCCCTGAGGAATTGCCACACTGACTTCCACAAGGGTTGAACTAGTTTACAGTCCCACCAACAGTGTAAAAGTTTTCCTATTTCTCCACATCCTCTCCAGCACCTGTTGTTTCCTGACTTTTTAATGATCGCCATTCTAACTGGTGTGAGATGGTATCTCATTGTGGTTTTGATTTGCATGTCTCTGATGGCCAGTGATGATGAGCATTTTTTCACATGTTTTTTGGCTGCATAAATGTCTTCTTTTGAGAAGTGTCTGTTCATATCCTTCACCCGCTTTTTGATGGGGTTGTTTTTTTCTTGTAAATTTGTTGGAGTTCTTTGTAGATTCTGGATATTAGCCCTTTGTCAGATGAGTAGGTTGCAAAAATTTTCTCCCATTCTGTAGGTTGCCTGTTCACTCTGATGGTGGTTTCTTTTGCTGTGCAGAAGCTCTTTAGTTTAATTAGATCCCATTTGTCAATTTTGGCTTTTGTTGCCATTGCTTTTGGTGTTTTAGACATGAAGTCCTTGCCCATGCCTGTGTCCTGAATGGTATTGCCTAGGTTTTCTTCTAGGGTTTTTATGGTTTTAGGTCTAACATGTAAGTCTTTAATCCATCGTGAATTAATTTTTGTGTAAGGTGTAAGGGAGGGATCCAGTTTCAGCTTTCTACATATGGCTAGCCAGTTTTCCCAGCACCATATATTAAATAGGGAATCCTTTCCCCATTGCTTGTTTTTGTCAGGTTTGTCAAAGATCAGATAATTGTAGATGTGTGGCATTATTTCTGAGGGCTCTGTTCTGTTCCATTGGTCTATATCTCTGTTTTGGTACCAGTACCATGCTGTTTTGGTTACTGTAGCCTTGTAGTATAGTTTGAAGTCAGGTAGCGTGATGCCTCCAGCTTTGTTCTTTTGGCTTAGGATTGACTTATGCCAAGCGTTTTTATGTGAATATAGATATATTCACAAGAATATACCAATAATAATTATTACTATAATTAAAACTAACCCATAAAATTAATCAGTTAATAAAAACATATTCTTTACCAGACACCACTATTCTAAACACTTTACATATTTTACTCATTTAGTCTTCTCGGCAGTAAGTATAGATACTTACCATTCTTAGGCAGAAGAATAGTTTGCCCTGTTAAACCATTATTTCTATTGTTTCCAGTCTTTCCTGGAAGTCAATGTCTTGGTGAAGTTTTAAAATAGATACTTATCATTATATTGCTCTGCCCTGATGCAATAACCCTATCAAAAATGGAAGAGATTAGTTTCTGCATCTGTGGCCTTCTTGATTTACTAACCAAGATAACAAAGGGAAATGAAATTTTTTGCATGATCAGTTTTCAGGGAACTCACTGCCTCCTGTTGATGACTGTCTTATTTTTAGGGCTCACCAGGTCACCTGTAGAATTGTTTTAATGTCAGTGTCTGGATTAACAGTGTATAGTTTATGGAAGATATTCTTTCCTCCTTTTTAAGAGTGAGGCGCCATTTGCTTCTCCCAAGTTTTCTGGACTCTGCTGTTTTCCATGATTTCTCAGGTTGTGAAGTCTTACTTGTAACTTGATACTAATATCTGTAATTTGGGTATCAAACATGAATGTATTAGAAGTAGCCTGATATTCACTGTTTTCTTGCCTGGAAGTTTGGGTCATCTTCTATAGTTGTTCAACTTCAGTTGTTTGAAAAACGTGAATGTTCTGAAAAAATGTGACATTTTTCAAAAGACACAGGCCAATTCTGAGTTGAGTATCTCTGGTTTCCTTTGGTCACCTTGAAAGTGCACTGTGTTCCCCGAAAGCTTGACTTTTTCCTTCTTTCTTTTAATTTTTAACATAATTACGGCAAAGTCCTTTGATTGTCTTTAGTACTTTTCCTGAAGCTGAACTGCTCCCCGCTGTAGTTTTTCTACTACACATTCATGTTCAGTTCACATTCTTGTTTTTATGCTACTTTCATATTTGAAAATGACTCAAAAGAGCCCACAGTGACGACACTGACTTCTTTACCTTCGCTGCTCATTTACCATAGAAATTGCTTCCAGTTCTATATTTCTCTCATAAGCCAGGGTTCTTTTTGAGTTGCCAGGCTTGATTGTTAAATCATACCTATTTTTCCTGACATTTTGTTTTTATTTCTGCTTTCTTAAGATTTAGGATACATGTTTGAGTTCATCGTGTCCCCTTCTGTGACTGTTAATCATTCTAACAAAGCTACTTGGAAATGATACCAGGTTTCCATCACTTTCAAGTCCCGACAAATTCACCCTTATTTCTGCTTTGTTGTCAAGAGGGATTCAGAAGAATTAACACACCCTTGAGTAGAAAATGATTTGTACCTTTCACTTTCCAAAGGGAATCTTTCATCAGTAAATAATTTCCACATGTGGAGTTGAGTTTTGCTGCCACATTTCACACACAGGGATCTGTGTGTGCTCCATGGTGCTTTGACTTCTAAAAGCAATTATGAGAGAAGAGCAGATTTCTTTAAACATGCCAACCACCGTCTTTAAAAATACAAATGTAAAATGAACTGCAAATGGCAAAGTCTGCCCTTGCTTTGTGCAGAGAGGAGTATGTTAAATGTGTTGTTGTTCCTGAGAAATGCTTTGTTTTATCATGCAGCCCATTGCAAAATAACGTACTGTCAAGAGTTCAGTTTAACATAAGCTTTTCCCCTTGCTGTCTTTGAAGAGTTTTGTTGTTGTTGTTGTGGTGGTGGTTTTCTGTTTGTTTTTGTAGACACCCAGTCTTGCTGTGTTGCCCAGACTGGTTTTGAATTCCTGGCCTTGAGCGATCCTCCCACCTCCGCCACCCAAGCGCTGGGATTACAGGCGTGAGCCGTAGCACCCGGCCTAGAGTTATTTTAAATTACAAAAGTAATACATGTTCTTTGTACAGAGTTCAAATAGTACAGAAACATATAAAGTAAAAAGTGAAGGGAAGGTCCAATTCTCCCCTCCAGGAGGGCGCCACCCTCGATGGTTGTCTGTCACGGCACTGAACTGAAAGGCTTTCGTTGTCTCCTCCCTGTGTTCACCTTTCCATCTCCGTCGAACTTTGCTTGTCCCCTGTTCATCTTTTTTTTTTTTTTGTGAGACAGAGCCTTGTCTGTTGCCCAGACTGGAGTGCAGTGGCACCATCTCGGCTCACTGCACCCTCCGCCTCTCAGGTTCAAGCAGTTCTCCTGCTTCAGCCTCCCAAGTAGCTGGGATTACAGGTGTGCACCACCACGCCTGGCTAATTTTTGTATTTTTAGTAGAGGCGGGGTTTCACCATGTTGGTCAGCGTGGTCTCAAACTCCTGACCTCAAATGATCTGCGCACCTTGGCCTCCCAAAGTGCTGGGATTACAGGCTTGAGCCACCACGCCCAGCCATCCTCTGTCCATCTTACAACTCATTAAGTATTTTTACTAGAGTGGAAACTGCAGTTATATACTTCTGAGCGTTTCTATTATTTTGTCAGGAAGAGGCAAACAGAGATGATAGACAAAGCAACACAACCAAGTTTGGACATTCCAGTTTCGACCAGGCTGAAATTTCCCACAGTGAATCCGAACATCTCCCAGCTAGGGATTCTCCTTCACTTAGTGAAAATCCCACAACGGATGAAGATGACAGTGAGTATGAGGACTGTCCAGAGGAGGAGGAAGACGACTGGCAGACGTGCTCAGAAGAAGACGGTCCCAAGGAAGAGGACTGCAGCCAGGACTGGAAGGAAAGCTCTACTGCAGATTCTGAGGCTCGGAGCAGGAAAACCCCACAGAAGAGGCAGATACACAATTTTAGCCATCTGGTATCCAAGCAGGAGTTACTGGAGCTCTTTAAGGAGCTACACACTGGGAGAAAGGTGAAAGATGGGCAACTTACGGTCGGACTGGTAAGATGACATATGTCATAACATTGTTACCACGTGATTGTCTTTAATCCCCATTTTTCAGTAGCTGCACGACCCCAAAGACCAACCAGGCTTCCGGCATCGTAGGGAACATTGCCCTCTTGTTGCCCACTGGCATCACGGGATTAGGCAGTGGGATAGACAGAGCCCAACTCAAAGGAATCAACTTCCTCAAGGCCTGTGTTGGTAACATACCTATTCACATTGAATGTATTCTCCAGTCTCCTTTCAGTTCAGCTTTTCCTGCCGTGTGAAGTACCAAGACAGCAGAATGAGAGAGATGTTAATGTTGTCTTCAGACTTCAGCCCAGTGTTCTTTGGGCACCCTGTGATCCTTGCCAGCTTATGCTGTAAATGTTCCAGATGCTTAATAGGGAGAATCCCAGCATCTTGGGGCTGGACGAAATATGACAAATGCATTAGTTGCATAAACACTGCATAGTAGATAGGGGAAAGCAGATCCCATCCCCAGCCTTACATACCCTAATTCCAGAAGTGGCTGCGGAAGTGCGCAAACCCCGAGGGGCTACGACATGGCTCTAGATGGCCCCATCCTTAGCTAAGGAGATGTGAGATGTTAGAGAAGGTATTGATTATAAAGACCTATCCAGAATATAACAGTGAGGGAAAGGAGGTCATGGCATGTTTAAAGTCTCCCAGCTTTTCAGTTACATGCTAAGTGTAGCTAATCCTAGTTAGTTTTGAGCCCCCTTCTCTCTGCCCCAACCCCCTGCCCCAAAATGCCTGTTTAAAATGACTACAGTAGATTAGCATCTTATTTTAGTGCAGTAGTTAAAAGAGCTGTCTGTGGAATCAGACAGACCTAGGTGTAATTCCCAATTCAGCAGTAGAACTAACTTGTTAGGAACACGGGGAAAGTTGCTTAATGTCTCTGAGCTTTAAAGCTTCATTCTCTATATTGTTGCTAAAAATTTGTATCAGAAAGTTCAGCTTCTCTACAAGTTTTCTCACATTTATGGAAAAACTGAGCATCCTCCCTCATTTTCTGAATTTCTTACTCTAGAAATTCTGCAGACACTTATTGATCACCTGCCACATGCCAGACATTCCACTTGGCTTTAACTAAAACGTGACTGAAAATTAAAAATAATTGTGTGTTGTGATTATTCAAATGTCCATCCGATCAGCCTCACCCAGTGTGGAAGATGCGATGGAAACCACTGTCTGTAGATGGGGCAGTGAGGGAAGGCTGGGAACAAGGGGATGAAATTTTCTGTAGCATCTGCTGTTAACAGCAAAACATATAATATTAAAATGTGCATAACTTGGCCATTTGTCACTGGAGATGTGTCTGAATAAATATACCCACACCACAGGAGAAAAAAGATGTCTCAACAAACACAGCATGGATTTCAAATAATTTTCTAAAGTAACCAGATGCTTATGCTAGTCTTGCCACCATCTATGTCATATCTTTGAGTCTTTTGATAGATGTACTGTTTTACTGTTTGGTAACTTCTGAGTCTCTTCTAGGTGGGCTACCCTAATGTTGGTAAGAGTTCAACAATCAACACCATCATGGGCAACAAGAAAGTATCTGTGTCTGCCACACCTGGTCACACAAAGCACTTTCAGGTATTTCTGTGGTGCTTTGCCACTTGCATGCAGCTCTTTCTTCCTTTTATCTGTTGTATACCCAGCTCAAACCTCTTGCTTGTCTTCCAGACTCTCTATGTGGAGCCTGGCCTCTGCCTGTGTGACTGTCCTGGCTTGGTGATGCCATCTTTTGTGTCTACCAAGGCAGAAATGACTTGCAGCGGAATCCTCCCAATTGATCAGATGAGAGATCATGTTCCTCCTGTATCACTAATATCCTTTCTGCTTTGGAAACACTCTAGTTATTACGTGCATATTAGGGCTTCAGGTTTATTTTGGGCATTTGAGGGATTCAGATTTGATGAAGAATTGAAAATACTAGTGATCTGCACAAGTTTATACTGTGAGATAGCATGAGAACTTCAGAATAGAACCTCATTTCCTGATTTCAGCAGTGTAGCCTTGAAGAAATGGGAGAATCCAGGTTTCAGATACTCAGTTCCAAGTTGCAAACCTATTTAACAATGCCATGTAACCGTTTGAATGACCTTGGAAAACTTGCTTAACCTTCCCAAATACTTTCCTTTTCTCTAAGTGGGGGAAAATCTATCTCACGGTTGATTATATTTAATCAGTATAGCTAACATATATTGAATACTTGCTATGTGCTTTTCTAAACCCTTACCAAATACCTTTTAGTCCTCAAAAAGCAACGCTTAAGGCAGATACTGCTGTTATTCCCATTTCCTCAAACTTGAGGAAACTGAGGCACAGAGAAGTTAAATAATTTATCTAAGCTCTTATAGCTAGTAAGCAGTAAATTAGGAACTCTGCTACCTCTCAGCAGCATAATGAATTAACTTACATAAAGCATCTAGGACAGTGCCCAGCATGGAAAAAAGACTCAAAGATGGATTTGTTAAGAACTATGCAGGGGCCAGGTGTGGTGGTTCATGCCTGTAACCCCAACACTTTGGGAGGCTGTGGCAGGCGGATCACTTAAGGCCAGGTTTTGAGACCAGCCTGGCCAACATGGCGAAACCCTGTCTCTACTAAAAATACAAAAATTAGCTGGGCGTGGTGGTGCACACCTGTAGTCCCAGCTACTCGGGAGGCTGAGGCACGATAATCTCTTGAACCTGGGAGGCGGAGGTTGCAGTGAGCTGAGATGGTGCCACTGCCCTCCAGCCTGGGCCACAAAGCGAGACTCTTGCCTTTAAGAAAAAAGAAAATGAAAGAAAAAAAAAACTGCAAGGTCTGAGATTTTACTCTACTTATAAGCTAATAAGTTAGTCTATTATTGTTTTGTAGATACTAGCAGAAAATAGGAGACTTCATGAAATTGGCACACTAATCCGCTGGCTTGTAAGTAGAGTAAAATTCCCTTCATAACTACACTTAAGGCCACAGCTTATTCATAGATACATATATATGAAAAAGTGTATAGCTTTTTTTTTTGTTTTTGAGATGGAGTCTCGCTCTGTCACCCAGGCTGGAGTACAGTGGTGCAATCTCTGCTCACTGCAACCTCCACCTCCTGGGTTCAAGCAATTCTCCTGCCTCAGCCTCCCGAGTAGCTGGGATTAACAGGCATGTACCACCATGCCCAGTTAATTTTTTTTTTTTTTTTTTGGTAGAGATGGGGTTTCACCATGTTGGCCAGGCTGGTCTCAAACTCTTGACCTCAGATAATCTGCCTGCCTCGACCTCCCAAAATGCTGGGATTACAGGCGTGAGCCACCACGCCTGGCCTTTTAAGTTTCTCTGTAAATTAATAGTGAGACATGAATCATTTATTGCAGGTAGCCTTAGGTTAGGTGCTGTGGAGGATAGGGCATAAATAGAGATGGCTCCTGCCCTTTACGAAGCATCAGTCTGTTGGGGCACATGAGGCATGTACTTGAATAACTCTAGTACAAGGTAGAATATTGTTAGTGGCTTAAGGAAAATTTGGACAAACTATGGGAGATGAGACAAAGGAGGAAAAGTAATCCTGCCTAACTGTAGGCATTAGAAACAGAGACTCCCCTTGCTTTATCTCTAAATTAGAATCACAAATGCGTAATCTTTTCAGGGTAAAAATGTGTCATCTTTAAAGTCTGTTTCAGATATATTTTAAATTACTATTTTAAATGAATTCATATGGAAAAGTCGTGGGAGCTTAAGGCCTTGTTTAAAAGGGAAAAAACAACTGAGTCTTTTTAGATTAATCAAAAACTATCCTCTTCCTTTGGAGAGGAGAGAGTGTTTGTCACACGCGGAATGAAGTGCCATGTTCTTTGAGGCACGATTTGTATGCCATGGGGAGGAGGGAGTCCGTTCAAGAGAATGGATTCCCTGACAAGCTACGTTTGCCAGAATATTCCAAGACATGTTTTAGAAGCTACCTATGGCATTAACATCATAACGCCTAGAGAGGATGAAGATCCCCACCGACCTCCAACATCGGAAGAACTGTTGACAGCTTATGGATGTAAGTTGTGATTCATCAGAAAATGTGAACAAAAGTAACAGTATACCTAATGAATAGAAATAAGAATAGTAATAGTACTAGAATTGCTGTTCTGCAAAGATACACATTTATAATATTTCTTCAGCATTTTTCAAGCCATCTTTCGTCTCTGTGGGCCTTGCCTACAAAGTAACCTAAAGTGCAAAAAGCTTTTAGGACGTTTGCTGCTTTGATGGTACCCACGTGCAGCACAGGGGTTCTCATCGTAGGCTGTGTTGGCTCTTTCTGGAGTCGTCTCCCAAACAAGAAGAAAGCGGATGTGTGGAAGAAAATGAATCCGCACGCCACAGCGAGGCAGGAGAGTTAGGAGGGGAGCACCAGAAGGGAGACCCCTCAGAGACGGGGACAGAGTGGAGCTTGGTTAGGATAGGGGCACAAAGCATCCTCCTTCCTCTCCCATCAGCCCCTGTAAACTTATTTGACATTAAGATGAGTCCACAGCTCTCCCACCTCTGTGTTTTATCCCAATTCCACGTGGGAACCTATGATTTCTTGCCTTAAATGTAAACTTTAAAGGTGGCCTGGAGAACCTTGTGTCTACCTAAAAAAAAAAAAAAAAAAAAAAATAGCAGTGTGGGAAACATTTCCGTGCGTGGGTGACTTGCCTTTACAGGGATTGCTGCTGGTTGGGAAGGAGTTCAGCTTATTTGAGTATTTACTGGCAGAGAAAGGTGAAAGGTGATTTGATATGAATCACACTTAAACCTTGAACTTAGAGACTCTAAAGAGGATAAATACTAAACACTTGTGGTAAGACTATTCTAATTACAGATTCATAGAACAAGAAAAGACCTTAAAGATCACCTCACCTCCTAGCCCCTGCTTTTAAGAGTAATCATCCGAACTCAGAGCCTGAGCTGACCCAAGGTGAGGTGGCTGGTCAGTGGAATAGCCTGGGTGAGATCTCCCTGCAGGATGTTAGCCTGCAAAATGCAGAAAGGTGGACTTCCACCAAACTTCCAGTTTGATTGTACTTCCGATACAACTGAAAATAATGTGAGTCTTTTAAGATGTTTCATCTAATGCTGCCTGATAAAATCAGAGTAAGGAAAAAGCCAGTTTGTAAAAGCAAATGACCACACGTACAATTTCTAAGTTCACTATCTGCAAGTCCATATAGAAGAAAATCTCTGACAGTAAATTTTCAAAGATATTGCCAGATTACTCTCATTTTACTTTGTATTTCTTTAAATACTAGTGAAGTTGAGCATCTTTCCAAATGTTTTGTGACCATTTATTTTTCTTCTGGGAATCACATTTTCCTATACATGGTTCTGTCTTAATGATTTGTAAAAGTTCTTTGTTATATGTGCTACACATTTTTTCCAATGTTAATTTATGGTTTCTTTGGCCCCAAAGAAGTTGACAATTTTAATAGACTATATTTTTCCTTTTTGGTTTGACTGGGTTTGGTGTTTTACTTGGGAAGGTCTTCTCCCTCCCAAAAAGATAAAACTATCTTCCTGTAATATTTACTTACTTTTTTAACATTTAGATTTTTAATCTGACGAAATTTATTGTTGTATATTGTGTAAATTAGGATTCTAACTATTTTCTTCGAAACTGGAAAAGCCAGTCGACAGCTAGTATGTGAGGGAACTGAGTTTTGAACGCAGCCTGTCTGCTGAAGCCGTGTTCTTAACCACCATGCTTCGCTGCTTTTCTAATTGAGTTAGTATTAAAGGGATCTTACTGGGGAAAAAAATGTAGGTACATCATTCAGTAAGAAAACTTCTCTGTTGCTTTCTGTTTTGCAAGTAGTATTGATAGCGTAGCATTCTCCTACAGGTAGCCTCCATGAATAAATGTTTAAAATAAGGAGGCTGGGTGTAGTGCCTCACGCTTGTAATCCCAGCACTTTGGGAGGCCGAAGTGGGTGGATCACCTGAGGTCAGGAGTTCAAGACCAGCCTGAACAACGTGGTGAAACCCCATCTCTACTAAAAATACAAAAAGTAGCCAGGCGTGGTGGCATGCGCCTGTAATCCCAGGTACTTGGGAGGCTGAGGCATCAGAATTGCTTGAACCTGGGAGGTGGAGGTTGCAGTGAGCCAAGATTGTGCCTCTGCACTCCAGCCTGGGCAACAGAACGAGACTCCATCTCAACAAAAAATAAAATAAAAATAAAATAAAGAGAAGAAATAACTGGAGTAGAGAGAAATCGAATTTGTCTTTCATAGCGTGGTGCTAGGTGGCATTTTTAGGATATCAGATATAAGTAAATATTCTCCTGGATTATCTAGTGTTTTTAATGCTAAACAATATATATTCTACAATGATACCTAATTTTTTAAAATCCAAGAGTAAGAATGCTTAGTAATAGAAGCTACATCACCTCAGTTGTCTTTGTTGTGATATTCTGTCATCTAAGATTTTGCAAAATTCTTTTCTCTCCACAGACATGCGAGGATTCATGACAGCGCATGGACAGCCAGACCAGCCTCGATCTGCGCGCTACATCCTGAAGGACTATGTCAGTGTAAGTGAACCCTGCCTCTCATGCTCTCCAATACACAAGTCTTTTCCACATTCTGCGTTCTTAGATAATGGTAACCTGTTCGATTATAAAGGAAATATTTTTTCATTGAAACTGGAGTTGTGTTCTTGATGTAGGGTAGTTAACATTATATGGATTATAGACATTACAAAAGATGGAGATCTCTGAACACCTATTATGAGTGAAAATCACCAATATATGCATCTGGCTTTTTTTGTCTCCTACAGCCCTTTGCTTGTTATGATTGCAACTATTGTCACAGTCTTCTTTGTAGTATAGCTGTTTATATGCCTATCTCTATATTTGCCTAGTAACGATAACAGCTAACATTTCTTGAAAGCTAACCCTGCTAGAAATAGTTCTGTTTTACGTGCGTCTTCTCAGTACAAATATGTAACAAGTCTGTGAGATTACTATTTCTCCTTTTCAAATGAGAACATGCTATTTGGGGGTTTCCCCATAGTAAAATGGAGATGAACAGGGCCTATCTCATGAGATTATTATGGGAAATAAATGAAAACTCTGTGTGTGTGTGTGTGTGTGTGTGTGTGTGTGTGTGTGTGTGTGTGTCTGTCTGTGTGTGTGTGTGTGTGTGTGTGTGTGTGTGTGTCTGTCTGTGTGTGTGTGTGTGTGTGTGTGTGTGTGTGTGTAGCACTAAGCTCAATGCCTGGCACATAATGAGCCCCCAGTAATTGTTATCTATTAAGTTTCTTTCCACAAATAAGCATTACAGGGCCCTGTTAATAACCAGTTGTGAGGATTTGGCTTTATTTCCTCCTCTTCTCAAGACCACATCGGTGGAGCTCTTGGAGCTCAGTGGCAACCATATGGGCTTGCCTTCAGTTCAGGAAGAAAGCAGTTCATGCTATTGGTATGGATAAGTCATGTATTCGTTTACCACTTACTGTGGAGGATGTAAAGATGAGGTAAAAATAGTCACAGCCTTCAGATCATTTATGATGGAAAGAGGCAGACTTGCACCCAGTGAGCAACTGCAACCCCACATACAGGAGTCGAGGAACTCTCCTGACTTTAACAGTCTAACCCGGCATTACCGTAACTGTCCAGTTATGTCTTGAGTTTTGTTTTGGAAAATATTCACCATAAGTATGATCATGTCCGTATACTGAAGAATACTTGAGTGGGAATGCAAACGAGAAAAGAAGAAAGAGATTTCATCCTAGTCTGGGGCGCCATGGGAAGAGCTAGGTCTCTAGAACACTTTGACCATTGATGTATTAGAAAAAGGACTCTTCAGCTGCAGTAGACCAAAACTCAACTCAGCTAACTTAACCAGAAGGCAGAAAGCTCCATCAGAGTGTGACTGGGTGGAGCTGTCTCCTCTGAGGCCACAGATGGCACTTAGGCTGCACTGTTGTCATTCATGTTGTCTTTGTAGGGTAAGCTGCTGTACTGCCATCCTCCTCCTGGAAGAGATCCTGTAACTTTTCAGCATCAACACCAGCGACTCCTAGAGAACAAAATGAACAGTGATGAAATAAAAATGCAGCTAGGCAGAAATAAAAAAGCAAAGCAGATTGAAAATATCGTTGACAAAACTTTTTTCCATCAAGTAAGTTTTAAAGCTTTTCTTAAACTTCTGATCCAACACTCTTTTTATAACAGCTTTATTGAGTATCACATGCCATAAACACATTTTATTAACCCCAAAAAGGGTTTAATAATTCCAAAAAGGGTTTAATAATTCCCAAAAGAAACCTTATTTATTTATTTATTTATTTATTTATTTATTTATTTATTTTTATTTTTTTTTTTTGAGACGGAGTCTCGCTCTGTCGCCCAGGCCGGACTGCGGACTGCAGTGGCGCAATCTTGGCTCACTGCAAGCTCCGCTTCCCGGGTTCACGCCATTCTCCTGCCTCAGCCTCCCGAGTAGCTGGGACTACAGGCGCCCGCCACCACGCCCGGCTAATTTTCTGTATTTTTAGTAGAGACGGGGTTTCACCTTGTTAGCCAGGATGGTCTCGATCTCCTGACCTCATGATCCACCCTCCTCGGCCTCCCAAAGTGCTGGGATTACAGGCGTGAGCCACCGCGCCCGGCCGAAACCTTATTTATTAGCAGTTACTGCCTGTCCCCTTTTTTCCCCCAGCCCCTGCCAACCAATAATCAATCTTTATGAACAGATTTGCCTGTTCTGGAGACTTCACGTGACTGGAATCATACTGTGTGCTCTTCGTGACAGGCTTCTTTCATTTAGCGTGGTATCTTAAACATTCATCCATGTTGTAGCCTGTGTCAGTATTTCAGTCCTTTTTATTACCGAATAATGTTTCATTGTATAGATATGCCACATTTTGTTTATCTATTTATCATTTGAGGGACGTTTGGGTTGTTTCCACTTTTTGGCTACTATGAATAATGGTGTAATGAACACTTGTGTACAGGTTTTTGTGGAGACATGGATTTCGTCTCTCTTGAGTATATACCTCGGCGTGGGGTTGCTGGGTTGTATTGCAACTCCATGTTTAACATTTGAGGTATTGCCAAACTTTCCAAACGTGGCTGTGCTGTTTTACATTACTCCCAGTGATGTAGGAGGTTTCTAATTGTCTCCTCATCCTTGTCAATGTTTATTATTTCCCATTTTTTTTTTATTTTAGCCATCCTAATACATGTGACGTATTGCATTATAGTTTTGATGAGTATTTCCCTAATTACTAGTGATGCTGAGCGTCATTTTATGTGCTCGTTGGCACATGTATATTTTCTTTAGAGAAATGTCTATTATTAAGTTGTAAGAGTTCTTTATATATTCTGGATACAAGTCCCATATCAGATTTATGATTTACAAATATTTGCACCCATTTAGTCAGTTGTCTTTTCTCTGAGCCAACACATTTGGTGATAGAAAGTGCTAAAGAAACAGACTTCATAAATGTCTTCTGCACTTTAAAATATTGATAACTTCAGTTGCTTATATCACAGCTACAATTTGTAGGCAGTATTTTAAAGGTCAAATGTACATGCAAAAGAGCTAAATCACATAATTGTACCCAGTGTAGGTTAAAAATGTTTTTAAGTGACTACTATAGCGAAAATAGGACAGGGGTTAGGATGGGGTGATCAGCTATATCCAGAGAATGTTTTTGTATTTATCCCGTGCTTTATCTGCATGCCTTACACAATGAGCCTGTGAAGCAGGCCAAGCAAGTATTATTCCTTGAGGACACTGAGGCTCAAAGAGACTGAGTTACCCAAGGGCATGCTTTAAATTGCAAAGCTGGGATAAAACTTAGATGTTTGTAGCTCCTAGTTTGAATTATTTTCAAGTTGGTACATACCAGTATTTGGAAGAAAATTTACCAACATGCAAAAAGATTGCAAGTTTATTCTTGGGCCTACAGCTGTCATACAGAACATTTCATGTGAAATTTTAAATGTTTACAGGTTTCTAAAAGCTATGTACAAGAAAGCTGAAAACTTGTCATAATTTTAATATAATTCATATGTCTAAACTGTAACCTCTAGAGTAATATTTTACTATTATAAGTAACTTGCAAATCGTAGGGTACTAATTTTTTTTTTTACTAAGTAAACTTAAAATTTGTTTAGAGTCCATTTCTAATGTGGTTGAAACAGGTTAAGTTTTGATATTAAGACAAATTTCCAGAACACAGCTGGTATTAAGTCTAGTTGTAGATGGCATTTGAAAGTATGGGACTAAACAAAGTTGACGAGGGAATGAGGAGGGGGAAGAGATGAACTGAAGACAGAATGCTGGGGGGAGAAAGAGGACCAGTGAAGGGGAGGGGGGCGGAAGTTCACCCAGTGACTGACTCCTTTTTATCTTGAAGTGATCCACTAATAGTACTGTGCATATCCCTTAAAGGATAGCCTGCTGACAGCTCAGATAATGTTTTCTCTTATTTCCTAGGAGAATGTGAGGGCTTTGACCAAAGGAGTCCAGGCTGTGATGGGTTACAAGCCCGGGAGTGGTGTAGTGACTGCATCCACTGCGAGCTCTGAGAACGGGGCGGGGAAGCCCTGGAAAAAACATGGCAACAGAAATAAAAAAGAAAAAAGTCGTAGACTCTACAAGCACCTGGATATGTGAGGTTGGGCTGCAACAGAAATGTCATCTGCATTGTGCAGATGGAAAAGAGCAGAAGCTGCCTGTTGCCTGTGGAACCGTCCCAAGACACTAGCACTGTAGAACGGGCCCTGCTCTTGCAGAGCACGGCTGCACCCAACAGTCTCCATGTCAAGACCAAGGGCCTCCTGGAAACACCAACTCTGACAAAAAGGAGTCATCTGGGAGCCCGAGAATCCTACTCCTGGCCGGGCACAGTGGCTCACGCACCAACATGGAGAAACCCCGTCTCTACTAAAAATACAAAAAAATTAGCCAGGCGTGGTGGCGCGCACCTGTAATCCCAGCTACTCGGGAGGCTGAGGCAGGAGAATCACTTGAACCAGGGAGGCAGAGTTTGCAGTGAATGGAGATTGCGCCGCTGCACTCCAGCCTGGGCGACAGAGTGAGACTGCATCACAAGAAAAAAAATTTGCAAGGGATGGTTCACGAGACACATTTGGGACGAAGGTGAAAGAGAAATTCCCCATTCTGAGTGTCCTAGTTGGGTTCCTCCGACTCTAAACAAGGGACTTGGGTTCAGTTAGTGTACAGCGGGGGCTCACGTCCACTAAGGAACATGTAGAATGTAACCACCGGGTGACAGGGAAGCTGCGGTATTTACTACCTAGCCCCCATCTTCACTGGTTATTCCACTTATTTAAAATGTCCAGAATAAGCAAATCTCCATATAGAGGAAGTAGATTAGTGGTTGCTTCGGGATGGGAGGAATGGGAAGATTGAGGTCTTTCTTTTGCAGTGATAAAAATGTCCTAAAATTGACTGTAGCGATGGTCACACAACTCTGAATATGCTTAAGACCATTGAATTACACACTTTACGTTGGTGAATTGTATGGTATGTAAATTATAGTTCAATAACATAGTTACAAAAGATAATCAAAAGCATGAAAGCACTGTTGATGTGGTTTGGATCTGTGTCCTCACCGAGTCTCATGTTGAAATGTAAGCCCCCTGGTGGGAGGCGATGGGATTATGGGGCAGAGTCCTCACGAACGGTTTAGCACCACCCGCTCAGTGCTGTTCTCCTGATATTGAGTCCTCATCACATCTGGTTGCTTCAAAGTGTGTGGTGCCTCCCCTCTGTCTCCCTCCTGCTCTGGCCATATAAGATGTGCCTGCTTCTCCTTCGCCTTCTAACATGATTGTAAGTTTCCTGAGGCCTCCCTAGAAGCAAAAGCTGCTGTGCTTCCTGTACCATCTACAGGACCGTGAGCCAATTAAACCTCTTTTCTTTATAAATTACTGTCTCTGGTATTTCTGGTTTTCTTTTTTTTTTTTTTTTTGAGACGGAGTCTCACTCTGTCGCCCCGGCTGGAGTGCAGTGGCATGATCTCGGCTCACTGGAACCTCCCTCTCCCGGATTCAAGCAACGTGCCCTCCCAGAAGAGAAAGCTGTTGAGCTGCTGGCCTGTCTCCGCCAGGCGGCTGGGATTTATGGTCACCATTGGCTGCCCACTCCCGTAGGGCCGCCCAGGCCGCTGCAGCCTTTCCTTCAGAAGGACGGTGCCTGAGGTCCTGCCACCTCTGCCAACAGGAAATGCCTTTGAGCAGTCACATCACTGCCCACTGTCCAGGAGGACAAGTGCTGCGGTCCTCTTGTTAGTTTTTCTTTTTGGCTAACTCTGAACCATGGCCAAAAACATTATCTTTAGCTCCTGGGCAGCTGCTGGACCTCTGAGGAGCCTGGTTAAGGAACTGATTCATTTCCTGAGGGCCGACCACGTGCAGAGCCCTGTGGAAAGTACAGGGAGAACCTGGGCAGGGTTCTAATGACCCAGAGGGAGCTAGTTAGAAGATACCGTCCAAAGTGTTCACGGCAGGATGAAGTCCCGACTCCCTCGCTACCGAACGCTGACCGTCTCGCCTCCCCTCCTGCAGGTGCTGCCCTCCCTCTGCTATTTGCCTTTCTCCCTATACCATCTCTTGCCGCCTCCAAGGGCCTCTGCAGAGCTGCTGCCATGGCCTTGTTGCCAAAAGCAAACATTCTCCAAGGCCCAGCTTATGCATTATTTCTTGGAAACCTTCCCCCACACACCCCCGCCCACAATGCGGGGTGTCGTCAATGTACTTTAAAGATGCCCCTGCTGTAGTACATGTTGTATTTTTATGGCTTGTTTAAAAATCAGCATATCCGGCCAGGCATGGTGGCTCACGCCTGTAATCCCAGCACTTTGGGAGGCTGAGGCGGGTGGATCACTTGAGGTCAGGAGTTTAAGACTAGCCTGGCCAACATGGTGAAACCCCGTCTCTACTAAAAATACCAAAATTAGCCGGGCATGGTGTTACGCACCTGTAATCCCAGGAGGCAGAGGTTGCAGTGAGCCAAGATCACACCCCTGCACTCCAGCCTGGGCAACAGACAGAACAAGACAGTCTCAAAAAAAAAAAAAATCAAAAAATCAGTGCATTCATTCAGTAAATATTTTCCTTATTATGTGCCAGGCACTGAGCTAGAAGCTGAGGATGCAAGTGTAAACTAAACAACCCTGGCTGCAAGAAGCTCACAGCCTGGTAGAAAGACGGCACTCTTCACCCTTTAGAGGTGTCTTTGTAATAGAGTGGCGCAGGCACTGGGGCTTGGGCCCCCAGGACCAGGACGGCAAGTCAGCTGAAGCAAGGATGATTGCGGTGGAAGAGCCCTGTGAGGGAGAGCCAGGAGTTTGGCTTTAGACGTGTGCATTAGGCATGCAGGGGAGACGTCAAGTTATCAAGTAGGCAGCTGCGTATGTGAGTCTAAAGTTTGAGAAGGAGGGACCTGGAGCTGCGCATTCGGGAGGTGCAGGTACAGGGACAGTAGTTAAAGCCAGAGACCCAATGAGATCCCCAACAGAGGATAGGTAGGGATGAGAACCAAGAACTGAGCTGCATGTCTCCCCCCCATTAGCTGACCTTCCTCCTTTTACAGAAAGGAACACACAAGTGCAGAGAGGACCAGTGTTTTGCCCCAAGTCACAGCACAGCTGCTGCAATGCGGAGGGAAAATTCCAGTGTAAGATCAGCAGGCTCCAGAGCCCACACTCTTCCCATTGCTTCTGTTTTGTTTGTTTGTTTGCTTGTTTTTTGAGACAAGAGTCCTGTTTTGTCGCCCAAGCTGGAGTGCAGTGGCGTGATCTCTGCTCACTGTAACCTCCGCCTCCTGGGCTCAAGTGATCTGCCTCAGCCTCCCAAGTAGCTGGATTACAGGCACCCACCACTATGCCTGGCTATTTTTTGTATTTTTAGTAGAGACAGGGTTTCACCATGTTGGCCAGGCTGGTCTCGAACTCCTGATCTCAAATGATCCACCCGCCTCGGCCTCCCAAAATGCTAGGATTACAGGTGTGAGCCATCGCACCCAGCCTCCCATTGCTTCTTTACGTGAGCCAGCTTGTCCAGTGACTGGGAGCAGCTCCCCGACTGAGGGCCATCTCCAAAACCCATAGTTTCTTGTAAGAATTGTCATGAAGCTTGTGGAGATGCAGTGTAGGAGGCTGAACAATGGTTCCTGAATATATCAGGCCCTAATCCCTGGAAACTGCAAATGTTACCTTATATGGAAAAAGGGTCTTGGTGGTTGTGATTAAATTTTTTTTTTTTTTTTTGGTCTTGAGATGGAGTCTCTGTCACCAGGCTGGAGTGCAGTGGCACGAGCTTGGCTCATTGCAACCTCTGCCTCCCAGGTTCAAGCAATTCTCCTGCCTCAGTAGCTGTAATCCCTCCCGAGTAGCTGGGATTACAGGCACGCACCACCACGCCCAGCTAATTTTTGCATTTTTAGTAGAGACGGGGTTTCACCTTGTTGGCCAGGATGGTCTCGATCTCTTAACCTTGTGATCCGCCCACCCTGGCCTCCCAAAGTGCTGGGATTACAGGGGTGAGCCGCCATGCCCAGCCAGTTGTGATTAAATTAAGGATGGGGAGATTATCGCAGATTATCTGAGTAGACCACGAATGTAATCACAAGTGTCTAAGAGAGAGGCAGAGGGAGACATGACACACACGGAGGAAAAGGCAATGTGATCACGAAAGGCAGAGATGGATCGACCTGGGTGACGCCATTAAGGGAAGGAATGCTGGCAGCCACCAGAAGCTGGAAGAGGCAAGGGAATGATAGATTCTCCCCCTATAGCCCCCAGAATGGGTACAGCCCTGCTGACACCCTGGCTTTGGCCTAGTGAAACTGATTTCTAACTTCTGGCCTCCGGAACTGTGAGGGAATCCACTGAAGTTGTGCTGATTTGTTACAGCGGCCACCGGAAATGAATCCATGCCGAGTCCAAGGACACGTGCCCAGGAGCTGGATTTAGTATGTCTATGTTCTTGATAGGCAGAGTGGCTGTGATACCAGCGATCTATGGACCACGCTGCCCCAACTGCTCAGGCAGGGGACTCGAAGCAAAGGACTCAAACCCTTGAACGGGGGTTTGTAGTCTGGGCTCCATGGAATCCATAGTTGAATTTCAGTGGGTAGGGGCTGGTTCATAATTTTTTTTAAATTGTATGAGGAACTATGTGTGGTGTGCACATATATTCATATTTTTCAAGGATGAGGTGTTTTTGTTTTTGTTTTTTCAGATTCTCAAACGGGTCACAAAAAAAGGTTAAGAACTAACCACTAATCTAAGAACAAACTGCTGAGGTGTGTAAGCCCAGCCCAGAGTAGGTGGGGAGGAGTGAAGCACCTTCTAAATCAGGCCCAGCTCTGAGGGTTCATGCTGAGCCGTTCTCCAAGTCTCTACAAAACTCACAGCACAGGGAGCTCTGCCCCAGGGCCTGGTGGGAGGATGACACAAGACTGGGTGGGGCACTTCCCTGCTTTAGCAGGAGAGTGAGCAGCAGGTGGGCAATGTCCCCAGGAGAGCTAGGATCCAGGCAATCACAGGTTAGTATCTGAGGAAGGTAAAGGCAGAGATGACCCCTGATAAGCACACAGGACACACCAGAAGTTCCAGGAACACACGGCAGGAATTTCAGACGGGGTCCTTCAACAGTGTGGGCAGTGGCTCAGCTAGAAAGACCCTGTGGGTACTTAGTATTTATAGACTATGAGAAACTTGGTTATGTATTTTTTTTCTTTTAACACTTCACTCATTCCTCCATTCATTTTATAACACTTCATCTTAATTGTTTTATTATTTTAATTTTGGCCCTTTTTGGTAAAAACCATTTTAATTGTATCTTTTTGTTCAGTTGCTTGCTTAATTTCTTTTTTTTGAGACACGGTCTTGCTCTGTTGCCCAGGCTGGAGTGCAGTGGTGCAGTCTCAACTCACTGCAACCTTCGCCTCCAGGGCTCAAGTGATCCTCCCATCTCAGCCTCCCAAGTAGCTGGGACTACAGATGCATGCAACCACGCCAGGCTAATTTTTTGTAGTTTTTGTTGACATGGGGTTTCACCATGTTACTTAGGCTGACCTCGAACTCCAGAGCTCAAGTGATCCACTTGCCTCACCCCCCGAATTGCTGGGATTACAGGCGTGAGCCACAGTGCCCCGCCAGTTGCTTGCTTAATTTCTGTCTCTCCTACTGGACTGTAAGCTCCAAGTAAGTAGGACCCATGTCTGTTTTACTCAATAGTGTGTTCCCAGCTCCTAACGCAATGCCTGTCTTAGTCTATTTGAGCTACTATAACAAAATGCTTTGGACTGAGTGGCGTGTAAATAACACAGATTTGTTTTTCACAGTTGTGGAAGCTAGGAAGTCCGAGATCAAGGTGCCTGCAGATTTAGTTGAAGGGCCTGCTTTCTGGTTCCTAAAGGCGCCACCTAATATAGTTTGGTGCAAAAGTAATTGCGGTTTTGGCCATTAAATGTAAGCCACTTTTAATGGCCAAAAAAAGTGGCTTACTCTTAATGGCCAAAACCGCAATTACTTTTGCACCAAAGCTTACTTTTAATGGCCAAAACTGCAATTACTTTTGTACCAAAGTACTTTTATCTGGCTTTTTTTGTTTTGTTTTGTTTTGTTTGTTTGTTTGAGACAGAGTCTTGCTCTGTTGCCCAGGCTGGAGTGCAGTGGCGTGATCTCGGCTCACTGCAACCTCTGCCTCCCAGGTTCAAGAGATTCTCCTGCCTCCGCCTCCCAAGTAGCTGGGATTACAGGTGCCTGCCACCACACCCAGCTAATTTTTGTATTTTTAGTAGAGACAGGGTTTCACCATGTTGGCCAGGCTGGTCCGGAACTCCTGACCTCAAGTGATCCACCCGCCTCAGCCTCCCAAAGTGCTGTGATTACAGGCGTGAGCTACCGCTTCCAGTACTTTTAATAGCCAAAACCACAATTACTTTTGCACCAATCTAATACCATCAAATTAGTGATTAGATTTCATTTCTCCTGAGAGGTTATAACTTTGTTTTGTTTTGAGAGACCGGGGTCTCCCTATGTTGTCTAGGCTGGTCTCCAACTCCTGGGCTCCACTGATCCTCCCACCTTGGCCTCCCAGAGTGCTGGGATTACAGGCATGAGCCACCTTACCAAGCCAAATCATAACTTTGAAAACACAGTGAACCACTAAAATAGTGTAGCCACTTTGGAAAATAGTCTGGCAATTCCTCAAAACATTAAACACAGTTACCACAGATCCCAGCAAGGACACTCCTAGGTATATACCCAAGAGAGCATGAAACCTGTGTCCACACAAAAACTTGTGCACAAATGTTCAGAGCAGCATTATTCATAATAGCCCAAAGGTGAAAGCAATCCAAACATCCCACTAATGAGTGGATAAACGAAATGTGGTATAAAAATACCCATACCATGTATTATGATGAGCCATAAACAGGAATGAAGTACTGATAACACGCAGCAACATGAATGAACCTTGAAAACATGCTAAGTGAAAGTCACAGAAAGGTCATATAGTGGATGATTCCATTGATGTGGAATGTCCAAAATGGGCAAATCCATAGAGACAGAAGGTAGATTTGCGATTCCTGGGCTGCGAGTGTTGAGGGGAGTGGACAGTAACTGCCAGTGGGCCGGGTTCTTTTCAGATGGGGGTGATGAAAATGTTCTAAAAGTAGACAGTGATGTTGGTTGCACAACGCTATGGATACACTAAAAACTGCTGAATTGTACATTTTATTTTTTGTTTTGTTTTGAGATGGAGTCTTGCTCTGTCGCCCAGGCTGGAGTGCAGTGGCGCCATCTCAGCTCACAGCAATCTCCGCCTCCCAGGTTCAAGCAGTTCTCCTGCCTCAGTCTCCCGAGTAGCTGGGATTACAGGCGCCTGCCATCATGCCTGGCTAATTTTTGTGTTTTTAGTAGAGATGGGGTTTCACCATGTTGGCCAGGGTGGTCTCAAACTCCTGACCTCAAGTGATCCACCTGCCTCGGCCTCCCAAAGTGCTGGGATTACAGGCGCGCACCACCATGCCCGGCTAATTTTTGTATTTTTAGTAGAGACAGTGTTTCACCATGTTGGCCAGGCCGGTCTTGAGCTCCTGACCTCAAGTGATCCGCCTGCCTCAGCCTCCCAAAGTGCAGGGACTACAGTTGTGAGCCACCGTGCCTGGCCAGAATTGTACATTTTAAAAGTACTATGTAGGCTGGATGTGGTGGCTCACACCTGTAATCCCAGCACTTTAAGAGGCTGAGGAGGGCAGATCACGAGGTCAGGAGTTTAAGACCAGCCTGGCCAACATGGTGAAACACCGTCTCTACTAAAAATACAAAAATTACTCGGGTGTGGTGGCGGGCACCTGTAGTCCCAGCTACTTGGGAGGCGGAGGCAGGAGAATTGCTTGAACCTGGGAGGCGGAGGCTGCAGGGAGCTGAGATCGCACCATTGCATTCCAGCCTGGGCAACAGAGTGAGACTCTGTCTCAAAAAAAAAAAAAAAAAAAAAGACTATGCTTATGGCATATAAATAATATCTAAATAAAGCTGTAGTTTTTGAAAATTAAAAAAGATTTTTTTTCTTTTTTTCAATCCTGCTCCTTCTATAGAAATATTGTTTTCAAGTCATGTCTTGCTTTAAACAAACCTACTAAAATCAATAAGGAGATTTAAAAATTACAATAATAGTTTACTCTCAAGAAAAACAGCCCTGTGTACTTGAACTGTGCGGTGTGTGGCTGGACAGGAGGCGGCCGGTTGCAGAGATAACCAGCTCTTGGCTGCGGGGCCGTGGGCTAGGATGACATCCAGGAGCAGGGCTTGGGCGACTGCCTGGGGGCGGAGGGTGCCGTTGGCAGCTTCAGAAAGGAGAGTGAGAGGCAGATGTGGGGGTATTTGTTCTCCGGCACGTTTGTTTCCTCCTTCCTGGTCTTGCACCCCACCCTTTTTACTGCGCCCTGTCGGCGATCAGGACCACGCCCCCTTCACCTCGGGATCCCAGCACCCATGCGCTTCAGCAGCGCAACTAATTGCTGTTGGCTCAGGAAATGTGGACAATACGCAGGAAGGGACGCCGTGCCTTACAGCGACCGGCAGGGACTCGGCCGTCCGCGAGCCCAGCCGCCCGCCCCGCTCCGGCCAGGATGTTGGAGGTGGGTGACCGCGAAGAGGTCGGCGGGGGGCGGGGGCCGCAGTCTTTGTGCGCGCGCAGCTCCCGGCTCCCGCCGCTGGGGGGCGGCCTCCGCCCTGCCGACCCCCGACAATAGCGCGAGGGGTGGGGAGCGCGCGGTCCCGGAAACTTTTCCCCGGCGCCTTCGCCGCCGCCGCCCGCGCCCGGGAGCGCGCCCTTCTCTGCCCGCGGTCGGTGCGCTCGGCCGGAGGCGCCGCGGCGGAACGGAACCCAGAGAAGGGCACGCGGGGCGGCGGCGCTCGGGGCTTGCCCGCGGCGAGGGAGGCTGCGCCCAGGTCCCCGGCCCCGCGCCGCGCGCCCAGCCGCGCCATGGGGGAGGCGCCCAGCCCCGCGCCCGCGCTCTGGGACTGGGACTACCTGGACCGCTGCTTCGCCCGCCACCGCGTCTGCATCTCCTTCGGCCTGTGGATCTGCGCCTCCTCCTGCTGGATCGCCGCCCACGCGCTGTAATGGGGCCACGGGTCGGGGGGCTGTCGGGCGGGGAAACGGGCGCCAATCCCCTGCTGCTCCCTCTCGGAAACCTAGAGGAGGGGGCGGAAAGGGGGATGAAGGAGATGGCTCAGTAATAGGATCCAATGGAACATTGCTCTGTAGACTGAAGTGGGATCTTCTTTCCGGATCCCACGCACAGGGAAGCTGGGCTGTGAGCCAAAGGGAGGAGGCTGGGTGGTGCAGCGGATGGGGCCCCGAGGACACCGCGAGCCCTGGGTGCTATTGTCAGCCCTTCGCCATTGACTCGCAGTGTGACCTGGGCAAGCTCCAGAACCTCTCTGGGCCTCCTATGACCGGAGATAATACCTCATAGGATGATGGGAGGATTCGATGAATCAGTACCGTTAAAGCACTTAGTAAATGCTCATTAAACATCATTTGTATTGCTCCAGCTAGGCCACCAACTCTTAGGACCTTGGCAAGTCCCTTGATGTTTCTGGCCTCAGTTTACCCAAAGTCCTCTTAGGTGGGAAGGGAGGTAGTGATATGATCCAGCTGGCCTGTCTTTGCCCTGGTCTGTCCAGCACCTGGACTGGTTTGTCCAGATGCCCACGGTAGCCTAAGTTCTAAGAGTGAATCTCCAGGTCCTCAGCCGCTCTGTCCTAGGCATGGAAATCCACTAGCAGTGCTCAGGATGGTGCCGCCCAAGCATTCCCTGGCAGGGGAGAAAGGACCAGCACCCCTGGGAGAGGTTAGAACTGTCTCCCTGTAGGCACTCAGTGGATATTCTCCTAAGGCGTTTGGTCGTATTGCAGAGATTCTGCAGCCCCACTACCCAGTACTGCAATACAAATAAAAAGACGCCTAGAACATTTACTGTAGGCCCAGTGTTGCATTCATTAACTCATTCAATGCCTGCCACTCACAATATCAGCACCAGGAGGTAGGTGCTGTTACCCCCACTTTCTGTAGGGAACCCTGAGGTTCTGAGAGGTTAAATAACTTGTCTGAGTGAAAGGAAAGAACCAAAACCCCAGATCCTATTGGAAAGGGGCAGGCTGGTAAGAGAGATTAAACTGTTCAGATCAGAGGCTGGAAACTAACAAGGCGCTGGACACGCATTATCCTTTTGTTCCTCACAGTTGTCCTCAGACCAGCACTGTTAGGCACTTTGCCAACCTTGGAGGGGTTAAGAGTGAGCCTCTGCTTCTCACCCTGCCTGGGATCTGGACATACCCATTTGTTTTCAGGGCCTTGCCATCCCTGAACCTCCCCTGCTCCCCTTTCTCTTAGAAGAATGTGTCTTCGGAGTGGTGTGTGGGCTGGGTTAAGGTCAGCTGGCACCCTGGCCCCAAGAGCTGGGGAAGTGGCTGAGAACAACAGGGTACGGAGCAAAGCCCCCGCGTGTGAAGCCAGAAGACCACCATTAACTCACCTTCTCACCAGAGGCCTCAGTTTTGTCCTCTCAAATGGGAGGGTTGATATAAATTATTTCTAATTGGGGTCCGCCTCTGGGAGTCTCCAATTTAAGAATCTCCACTCCTTGGTCTTCAATTGGTTTTAGGAGCCCAGGGCCCAGACTGAAGTTGATGTTGCCACTGTGAGCTTCAGGCTTGGGCCAGCAGGTCAGGAAATGTTTAGAAAGCCAAGAGCCCTCTGTACTCATCCACCATTCCCAAGGACAGGCGCTCAGAATCAGCTAAATCGTCCTAAGGATGTGGAATGAGCACCACCCTCTGCTGAGTGGAAATGAAGCCAGCGCTGCCACCCTGTCTCGGTGTCTCCAGAGAAATGTAGCAAGGAGGCAGGTACGACAATGTATTTCAGAGGCCCTATCAGTGACGCCGATAGAAACAGCCAGCCCCTTCGGAAGGCAGGTACGACAACATATTTCAGAGGCCCTATCAGTGACGCTGAGGGAAACAGCCAGCCCCTTCGGGAGGCAGGTATGACAACGTATTTCAGAGGCCCTATCGGTGACGCCAATAGAAACAGCCAGCCCCTTCGGGAGGCACGTGCGACAACGTATTATTTCAGAGGCCCTATCAGTGATGCCGACGGAAACAGCCAGCCCCTTCGGGAGGCAGGTACAACAGCGTATTATTTCAGAGGCCCTATCAGTGATGCCGACGGAAACAGCCAGCCCCTCCAGGAGGCATGTGCGACAACGTATTTCAGAGGCCCCATCAGTGACGCTGACGGAAACAGCCAGCCCCTTCGGGAGGCAGGTACGACAGCGTATTATTTCAGAGGCCCTATCAGTGATGCCGACGGAAACAGCCAGCCCCTCCAGGAGGCACGTGCGACAACGTATTTCAGAGGCCCCATCAGTGACGCCGACGGAAACAGCCAGCCCCTTCGGGAGGCAGGTACGACAGCGTATCATTTCAGGGGCCCTATCAGTGACGCCGATGGAAACAGCCAGCCCCTTCTGGAGGCAGGTACGACAGCATACTATTTCAGGGGCCCTATCAGTGACGCCGATGGAAACAGCCAGCCCCTTCGGGAGGCAGGTACGACAGCGTATCATTTCAGGGGCCCTATCAGTGACGCCGATGGAAACAGCCAGCCCCTTCTGGAGGCAGGTACGACAGCATACTATTTCAGGGGCCCTATCAGTGACGCCGATGGAAACAGCCAGCCCCTTCGGGAGGCAGTACGACAGCGTATTATTTCAGGGGCCCTATCAGTGATGCCGACGGAAACAGCCAGCCCCTTCGGGAGGCAGGTACGACAGCGTATCATTTCAGGGGCCCTATCAGTGACGCCGATGGAAACAGCCAGCCCCTTCTGGAGGCAGGTACGACAGCATACTATTTCAGGGGCCCTATCAGTGACGCCGATGGAAACAGCCAGCCCCTTCGGGAGGCAGTACGACAGCGTATTATTTCAGGGGCCCTATCAGTGACGCCGATGGAAACAGCCAGCCCCTTCGGGAAGCAGGTACGACAGCGTATTATTTCAGGGGCCCTATCAGTGACGCCGATGGAAACAGCCAGCCCCTTCGGGAGGCAGGTACGACAGCGTATTATTTCAGGGACCCTATCAGTGACGCCGATGGAAACAGCCAGCCCCTTCTGGAGGCAGGTACGACAGCATACTATTTCAGGGGCCCTATCAGTGACGCCGATGGAAACAGCCAGCCCCTTCGGGAGGCAGTACGACAGCGTATTATTTCAGGGGCCCTATCAGTGACGCCGATGGAAACAGCCAGCCCCTTCGGGAGGCAGGTACGACAGCGTATTATTTCAGGGGCCCTATCAGTGACGCCGATGGAAACAGCCAGCCCCTCCGGGAGGCAGGTACGACAGCGTATTATTTCAGGGGCCCTATCAGTGACGCCGATGGAAACAGCCAGCCCCTCCGGGAGGCAGGTACGACAGCGTATTATTTCAGGGGCCCTGTCAGTGACGCCGATGGAAACAGCCAGCCCCTTCGGGAGGCAGGTACGACAACGTGTTTCAGAGGCCCTATCAGGGACGCCGATAGAAACAGCCAGCCCCTTCAGGAGGCATGTACGACAATGTATTTCAGAGGCCCTATCAGTGACGCCGATAGATACAGCCAGCCCCTTCGGGAGGCATGTACAACAACGTATTTCAGAGGCCCTATCAGTGACGCTGATAGAAACAGCCAGCCCCTTCCTGCCCTTCCGTGCATCTTCTCCAGTGGATATGGACTGGGGAGGGGCTGTAAGGGGAGAAGTGGCTGTGGGGGCGCTGAGGGAGGGACAGCTCCAAGTGCCAAAAGGGCTCTGTGTTTAAAGAACATGGACACAGGCCAGCAGAAGCCAGGCTGCCCCACTTCACAGATGGTTTAGAAGAATTTCGTTTGAATTTATTTCAGAGAAACAAGTTGTCTTTTTAATTCAGGCAATTAACTGTGCTCTGCAGTTATCTGCAGTGGTTGGGTTGCTTTTTTTTTTTTTTGAGACGGAGTCTCGCTTTGTCACCCAGGCTGGAGTGCAATGGTGTGATCTTGGCTCACTGCAACCTCTGCCTCCTGGGTTCAAGCAATTCTCTTGCCTCAGCCTCCGGAGTAGCTGGGATTACAGGCGCACGCCACCACACCCGGCTAATTTTTGTATTTTTAGTAGGGGCGGGGTTTCACCATGTTGGCCAGGATGGTCTCGAACTCCTGACCTCAGAGGATCCTCCTGCCTCGGCCTCCCAAACTGCTGGGATTACAGGTGTGAGCCACCATACCCAGCCTGAGTTACTTTTATAACCCTCCTGTTTCCTTTTCAAAAAATAAAACCCGATGGCTGCTTTTTCAGTGCTAGGTGGGGGGTCATCAAATGGAGCCGTCCTGATTTGGAGTCGGAAAGTAAAATTCCTCTTCCTCCAAAGAGGCGGTGTCTTCACATCTCACGAGGTCTAGCTCCTGCCATGGGCATCTGGACAGGCGGCTCTGGAGTCTTCTGATTGGTTCCCATCTGTAAACTCAGTTCAAAAACACGTCCTAAATACCTCGGGCAGAAAGAGCTCCCTGACGATGCGGGGTCACAGTTGCCCTTTTTAGATACATGCGTTTGGGTCCAAACTCACAGTTGCTGTGTTCTGTCCACACCCCTGTCACCCCAGGCTTCTCTATCTGAGATGTGCACAGAAACCCAGACAGGACCAGTCGGCACTGTGTGCTGCGTGCTGCCTCCTGACCAGTCTGTGTGACACCGTCGGGGCTCTTCTGGCCAGACAGCTCACAATCCAGGTATGTTGGGCCTCCAGCTGACAGTGGCTTAGGCCAGCACTAAGGGAGGCCTGGCCTTTCTCTCTGCTGCAGCCGTGGTGGCTTTTGTCTTGTTGCTGCAACATGCATAGCACAGTGTCACCTCAGAACCTGTGCCTGGCTGTTCCTTCTGCCCCCCTCAGAGGCTCTTGTTCCCAATATCCACTTGGCTGCCTGCTTAGTCCTTCACGTCTTTGCTCAAAAGTCACTTCTCACGGCCAGGAGCAGTGGCTCACACTGTAATCAACACTTTGGGAGGCCGAGGCAGGCCTCTAAATAGATTAGAATAAGGGAATCCAGAACACTGGTGGAAGAGGTGGGTCACCATTATAAGCAGGGGAGGTCTTATTGAGAAGGTGACTTTTTTTTTTGCTTGTTTGTTTTTTGAGACAGAGTCTTACTCTGTCGCCCAGGCTGGAATGCAATGACTTGGTCTTGGCTCACTGCAGCCTCCGTCTCCTGGGTTCAAGCAATTCTCCTGCCTCAGCCTCCCGAGTAACTGGGATTACAGGCGCACGCCACCACACTGGCTAATTTTTTGTATTTTTAATAGAGATGGGGTTTCACCATGTTGCCCAGGCTGGTCTCGAACTCCTGACCTCAGGACAATCTGCCTGCCTCAGCCTCCCAATGTGCTAGGATTACAGGCCTGAGCCACCACGCCTGACCTGTTTATTACTTCTTGTATGTGAACTCCCATTAGAGTGTCAGCTCTACAAGGGCAAGGATTTGTTCACTGCTGTATCCCCATCACTTAAAACAGCACCTGGCTCCTAGTAGGTGCCCAATACATAGTCATTTAGAGCTTTGACCCAGCCCCAGCTTATGTAGGGTGGCTGAGTCCTTTCCCAGGTAGTGGTGTAGGCTTTGGGGCAAGTGAGAAGTAGTTTCAAGTTTCTCAAAAGCGTAGGCCCTCAAACCTGTGTGGAAGGCTCCTATCCCAAAACACATATCCCCAGGAAAACCTGTTGTGCCCTCCTGCGGAGGCACCTCATGGGACTGGTCTTGGTCTTATGCCCATCCAGGTAGAAATGAAGGAAGGCAGCTCAGTTGGCAGAGCACAGATTTGGAGCATTCTAGACCCTGCTTCAAGCAGTGTTGTCTCAAAAGCAAATCACCTTTCATTTTGGGTGCCCATTCTCATTAGCTAATAGAATACAATAGGGCCAGCTGGGCACAGTGGTTCATGCCTGCAATCCCAGCACTTTGGGAGGCTAAGGCGGGCAGATTGCCTGAGGTCAGGAGATCAAGACCAGCCTGGCCAACATGGAGAAAACTAGCTGGGCGTGGTGGCGCGTGCCTGTAGTCCCAGCTACTCAGCGGGCTGAGGCAGGAGAATCACTTGAACCTGGGAGGCGGAGGTTGCAGTAAGCCGAGATCGTGCCACTGCACTCCAGCCTGGGCAACAGCAAGACTTCGTCTCAAAAAAAAAAAAATACAGTAGGTCCCAGCTCAAGTCCAATAATAATATTTATTAAAAACTACCCTGTCTCTACTAAAAATACAAAAAAAAATTAGCCGGGCGTGGTGGCAGGCGCCTGAAGTCCCAGCTGCTCGGGAGGCTGAGGCAGGAGAATGGCGTGAACCCAGGAGGTGGAGCTTGCAGTGAGCCGAGATCACGCCACTGCACTCCAGCCTGGGTGACAGAGCGAGACTCCGTCTCAAAAAAAAAAAAAAAAAAAACTTAACTACATACTTGGCACTACAGACCGTTTTGTGTTGACTCCTGGAATCCCAGCATCCTATGACATGAGTGTCCTCATTATTCCTGTTCTACAGATGTAGAGACTGAAGCATAGAGAGGTTAAGGGTCACCCATCTAGTAAGTAGCAGTGCCAAGATTCCGCGATTCAAACTCCACAATGCAAGTTCTTCACCGCTAACTCTACTATCAGAGGAGCTGGTGCCTTTAGAGGTAGTTTGCTTTCCCATAGACACTGGTGTAAACACTGCCCATGTACTGTCTCAAGTAACCTTCCTGACAGTCTTTGAGGGAAGCACTGTTAGTTTGCTCGTTTTACAGATGGGGAAACTGAGCGCCAGAGAAGCTCAGTGGGCCAAGGGTACACAGCAGAGACTGCCTCACGCAGTGGGAAGTGTGTGGAATAGAGCTGGAGGGCTGGGCTCTTATCCCAACCCTGCTGGTGGGCATCTGCATACCGTGGGTTCAGTCATGTAAACACCTCATCTCCTCATCAGCCAAGTGGACATGATAATGGACTTTTCCGGGGTTGGCAGGAGGTGTCCCTGGAGGAGTACGTAAGAAAGCACCGCATCAGTGTAACCCATGTGATACAGGGTCCCGGATGACAAACTCTGTAGGGGCTGAGGAAAGATGCTTGAATGCCAAGACTCTCTTCCCGTTTGCTCCCAGGTTTTCACTGGTGCCTACCTAGCAGCTATTGACTTAGTGAACTTTATGTTCATTCTCTTCCCAGTCTGTGGATCCAAATTCAAGTCTAATTCAGGTGAGTGTGTGGCTGTCTTTTCCTGTCTTTATTCACCCATTCATTCATCAGCACGCCGAATGCCTACTCCTTATCACTCCCAGAGCGGGCCCCAGCCAGGCACAAACAAAGGAGAAAGGCTGGGCGCGGTGGCTCACGCCTGGAATCCCAGCACTTTGGGAGGCTGAGGTGGGCAGATCATGAGGTCAGGAGATCCAGACCATCCTGGCCAACATGGTGAAACCCCTGTCTCTACTGAAAATACAAAAACTAGCCGGGTGTGGTGGCGTGCGCCTGTAATTCCAGCTACTCGGGAAGCTGAGGCAGGAGAATCGCTTGAACCCAGGAGGCGGAGGTTGCAGTGAGCTGAGATCGCACCACTGCATTCCAGCCTGGCGACAGAGCAAGAGTCCGTCTCAACAAACCTGGTGACAGAGCGAGACTCCGTCTCAAAAAAAACAAAAAACAAAAACAACCCCCCCCCCCCAAAAAAGAAGGAGAGTGTCTCATTAGGGCTGCCAGCTTGGAGGTGTGTGCACACTGTGGGCAGCCAGAGGGAGGGAAGGGCTGCTGGTGTCAAGGAAGCATGGGGCACTAGAGCTGGGGCCACAGGCAGGGCACTCCAGGCACACAGAGCAGCATGGGCAAAGGCTAGGAGGAGGTGTGGAGCAGGGCATGGGCATGAGCAGTGATAGCTTAGTGTGCAAGTTCGGGGTGGTCAAGCGAAGCTTCACAGCTACTGGAAGTGGATGCCAGGAATGGGCACAGGGCACCACCACAGGCACAGCAGGGGTCGGAAATGACTGGGCCAGGATGAGTGGCCCCGAGTGTCTGTGGTTGCGGCTTCTTGAGAAGGGTCAGCCATGTGCTTGGGCCCTTGTTCAAAAAGAGGGGATGAGGGGGCCGGGCATGGTGGCCCACACCTGTAATCCCAGCACTTTGGGAGGCTGAGGCAAGCAGATCATTTTGAGGTCAGGAGTTCGAGACCAGCCTGGCCAACATGGTGAAACCCTGTCTCTACTAAAAAAATACAAAAATTAGCTGGATGTGGTGGCATGCACCTATAATCCCAGCTATTTGGGAGGCTGAAGCAGGAGAATTGCTTAAACCCGGGAACTGGAGGTTGCAGATCGCACAACTGCACTCCAACGTGGGCAACAAGAGCAAAACTCTGTCTCAAAAAAAAAAAGGGGATGAACCAAGTGGTGTGGTGGCTCATGCCTGTAATCCCAGCACTTCGGGAGGCTGAGTTGGGAAGATTGCTTGAGGCCAAAAGTTTGAGGCCAGCCTGGGCAACATAGCAAGACCCTATCTCTACAAACATTTTAAAAAGTAGCTGGGCATGATGGTGCATGCCTGTGGTCCCAGCTGTTTGGGAGACTGAGGTGGGAGGATCACTTGAGCCCAGGAGGTGGAGGCTGCAGTGAGCTGTGATTGTGCCACTGCACTCCAGCCTGGGTGACAGCGAGACCCTGTCTCAAAAATAATAAATGAATCAGAGGGGGTGCTGCAGCAGTGTGTAGTGAAGCATGCCCTCAGCGGCTCAATGCTGCCCAGAAGAGAAATGCTCTTCTTAGAGTTTCTCAGGAGAGAGCTGGGCAGTGGCTTACACCCGGAATCCCAGCCACTCATGAGGCCAAGGTGGGAGATCGCTTGAGCCCAGGAGTTCAAGTCCAGCCTGGGCAACCTAATGAGACCTCATCTCAAAAAGAAAAAATAAACAGAATTGCTCAGAGGAGTGCCTATCTTACAGTTCAGGGACAAAGACACTGCTCATTGCTGTTTGTCCCGCGCACAGTTCCCGCTGGTGCCATCGCTGATTCACGGGTCGATGCTTGTACCACACTTGTACCGGTTCTGCTCTGTGGAGATTGTAGAAACCACCAGAGGATGGTGCCTTATCCTTAGGCGCTCTAGTCCAGAAGAGGCACTGCTGTCTGCACGCAGATGCATAGAGAGAAGATAATGTCATCTCTGCCTGAGGAAGGAGGGCAGCACGTTATGGGGGTGGGGTGTGCAGTCAGTGGTGGAGAGGAAAGACTCCTTGAAGAGGTGGCACAACTACAGGGCCCTGAAGGGTGGGGAGGAGCTGGCCTGCAGAATAATGTGGGAACCCGCTTCAGCATCATGTGGGGAGCTGACACCAGTTCTTCCCACGCAGCTATCTGATCTGACAAGGTCTGGCTTCCAGGAGCCATGTGGGATTTTGGTGTCTGTTGCAGATCGGGAAGCCCGAGAGAGGAAGAGGAGGCGGCAGCTCAGGGCCAGTGTGTTTGCCCTGGCCCTGCCGCTGAGCCTGGGCCCGTGCTGGGCTCTGTGGGTTGCTGTCCCGAAGGCTTCAGCCACCATCCGGGGGCCACAGCGGAGGCTGCTAGCGAGCCTGCTGCAGGTGAGGCTGGGCCACCGTGGGGAGGACTCGGGGTACTGCATGTCCTGCCAAATGCCCAGGGTGGGATGAGGCCGGGGCTAGGGGAGTGGGGTTAAGCCTTCCTTTGTTGGAAGAACCCTCTAAAAGCAGAAAAGGACTCCTGAGCTTTGGCTGTTTCTTGGGGCACATGGGCAGTCTCTGCAGAGTACTGATGGTGGATCACCTGTTCGTTCTTGCAGGAAAATACTGAGATCCTCGGCTACCTGCTGGGTAGCGTTGCTGCCTTTGGCTCCTGGGCTTCTCGGATCCCCCCTCTCTCCAGAATTGTGAGGCCGGGGGTGGGGATGGGACTGTGGGTCACATGACAGTCTCAGGGCATCTGGGAGCATCCTGAGAGGGTCATGGGGCGGAGGTGTGGCGTCACCGTGGGTGCATGGACATGGGCTCAGCTTTTCCTGAAGAGCGTTAGTGTGTATGACAGCAAGGAGGGGGTGTGTGTGGAGAGTGGGCAGCCAACCCAGGGCGTCCTGAGGACGGCGGGAGCCTCTCGGGGAAAGCCCGTGTGTTCTTCCCCATTTCCTATAGCAAATGAAAAGCAGGCTCTGAGGAAGAAGCCCCTGAGGCTGAACCCATAAGAGAAGGAGATTTGACACCGGACAGGCAGCCAGGTGTGAGGTTCTGTGTAGATCAAGAGTGTCTTAGGCCGGGCGCGGGGGCTCACGCCTGGAATCCCAGCACTTTGCGAGGCCGAGGCGGGGCGGGTCGCTTGAGGTCAGGAGTTGGAGACTAGCCTGACCAACACGGTGAAACCCTGTCTCTACTAAAATACAAAAATTAGCCAGGCATGGTGGTGCATGCTTGTAATCCCAGCTACTCTGGAGGCTGAGGTGGAGAATCGCTTGAACCCAGGAGGCAGAGGTTGCAGTGAGCCGAGATTGTGCCACTGCACTCCAGCCTGGGCGACAAGAGGGAAACTCCGTCTAAAAAAAAAAAAAAAAAAAAGAGTGTCTTATGGGCAGGCATTCTCCAGGCATCCACGTTGAGGGAGGCCCTGTGTCGGCCAGTGCTGGGGGGGGTAAGATGTGAGCAGGGGCGAGCGCTTGCCCTCCGGGAGCTCAGTCTCATGGAAGACACGGGAATGTGAAGCAGCATCTCCTCACGCTTCAAGAAAGATAGAAACAAATGTTTGGGGTTTCAGAAGAGAGAGAAGGCTCCTACGCTCTTCAAATGAGCAAGGGTGAAAACTGTTTACACTGCCAGACCGTGGGGTGGTGGGGAGGCGTCACGTTACCTCAGAAGGGAGCGTGAATTTGAGGACACAGGCTAGGGAAAGGCCATCGGCAGAGGAGAGCACACAGGAAAAGCCCCCACGTGCGAAAGCGCCTGAGAAACAGCAAGACACTGTGGACGTGTGACCGCTGCTCTGCCAAGTTTCCTCTGCAGACGACTCTGAGACAACTGTTCCTGTCTCACTGACAGAACAGTGGGCAAACCCAACTCCATGGCAAGTCATAGGCCCATTTAGTCTGAAAAGAATCAGCTGGGTGCGGTGGCTCATGCCTGTAATGCCAGCACTTTGGGAGGCCGAGGCAGGTGGATCACCTGAGGTCAGGAGTTCAAGGCCATCCTGGCCAACATGCTGAAACCCCGTCTCTACTAAAAATACAAAAACTAGCCAGGCGTGGTGGCGGGTGCCTGTAATCCCAGCTACTGTGGAGGCAGGATGGATCACTTGAATCCAGGAGGTGGGGGTTGCAGTGAGCCGAGATCGTGCTGCTGCACTCCATCCTAGGTGACTGAGCACTACTCCATCTAAAAAAAAAAAAAAAAATTACTTGCCCAGGAGCATCTTGGTTGAATAGCAGCTCCAGGGGAACAGGATTCAGGGCTGGAGGGTTGTTCGCGGTTGTTGGTGAAGTCAGTGAAGCTGCATTCTGTGCTGTGACTGCCAGAAGCCTCGCAGGGCCTGGGCCTCATCAGCAGGTGTCCTGTCTTTAGATTAATGGAGGGGAGAGTGGTGAGCACTGGGCTCAGCTCAGCAGCCCACCGGGGTGGCTCTCCAGGGTGGTGTCAGAGCTGGGAGACCACATTGCATGAAGGCCTTTGAAGAAGCTGGCACCGTGCCCTGACCGCCGGTAGTAGCTCCCTAGGGCTGTCGTAACAAAGTGCCACTAACTTTCAACAACAGAAGTTTATTGTCTCGGTGCCAGAGGTCAGAAGTCTGAGAGCAAGGTGCCGGCAGGGCCATGCTCCCTCTGCAGGCGCCAGGGAAGGATCTGTTCCAGGCCTCGCTCCTCTCCCAGGTTCGGGTAGCCCCTTGGCTTGTGGTAACCCTGGGTTTCTCGTGGCCTTCCCTCCGTACCTTTCTGTGTCCGACTTGCTCCTTTTTATAAGGACATTGGAATGGGACTCATCCTAATGACCTCATCTTGACGTGATCATCCACAAAGACCCTATTTCCAAATAAGGCCGCATTCACAGACACTGGGGGTTGGGACTTCAACATCTTTTTTTTTTTTTTTTTTGAGACAGAGTCTCGCTCTGTTGCCCAGACTGGAGTGCATGATGCAATCTCGGCTGACTGCAACCTCTGCCTCCCGGGTTCCAGTGATTCTGTGCCTCAGCCTCCCAAGTAGCTGGGATTACAGGCACACGCCACCACGCCCGGCTAATTTTTGTATTTTTAGTAGAGACGAGAGTGCACCATGTTGGCCAGGCTGGTCTCGAACTACTGACCTCAAGTGATCTGCCCGCCTTGGCCTCCCAGAGTGTTTGGCCTCACAGGTTTGAGCCACCACGCCCGGCCTAGGGACTTCAACATCTTTTGGGGGCACACATTGCAACTCATAACACCACCCCACCTAAAACAGCCCCCAGGCCAGCCCCACCACTGTGTCCCCTCACTCTGCTTTATTTTCTTCAGATCATTTGTAACAACCTGAAATGTGCCCCTTTATTTTCCCGGTTGCTGCCCGGTCCTGAGGTGGAATGTTAACACCTTGTGGGCAGTGGCCTTGTCTGTGTCATTTCCCACTGCATTGCAGGCACCTGGGACCTGATCATGGTAGGAGTCAGCAAACACTTAGAGAGCAATCTAATCTGGCCTGGAAAAAAGGAAGCTGATGAGTGCAGGAATCAGAAGGGCTGTGTGGGGGCAGAAAGAGCAGCCTTGTTCTCTTAAGTCTCAGAGAACAGAACCAAGACAGGGAAGAGGTTGGGGGTGGGCCCTTCCTGGTATTTTTTTTTTTTTTTTTTTTTTTGAGTCGGAGTTTCACTTGTCAGCCAGGCTGGAGTGCAATGGCACGATCTCGGCTCACTGCAAACTCCGCCTCCTGGGTTCAAGCGATTCTTCTGCCTCAGCCTCCCGAGTAGCTGGGACTACAGGCATGCACCACCACGCCCAGCTAATTTTTGTATTTTTAGTAGAGACAGGGTTTCTCCATGTTGGCCAGGCTGGTCTCGAACTCCTGACATTCGGTGATCCACCCGCCTCGGCCTTCCAAAGTGCTGGGATTACAGGTGTGAGCCACTGTGCCCAGCCCCTTCCTGTTGAGTAAAAGGAAGAACTTCAGGGTAAGACACTGTACAGTGCCCAGCATCTGGAGAGCCGCCAGCATTACCCCTGCCTTAGGAGGTAGTCGTCTCCTCATCACTACAAGGTATTGAAGCCTGAGGGCCCCTGGGCAGGACGATAGAGTGAGATTGCCCTGGGGACTCAGGAAAGGAAACATGCCGTATTTCTAGGGAAGGAGCTGCTGCTGCCTCTCAGTGACTCTGGTTCCAGGAGGAAGAGCCGAGAGCTAGGGTTCCCTTCATAGGGAGAAACCCAGCAGGGTTTGGGGTGTTCTGGGAAGCCAGGCCAGCATGGCTTCAGACCCTGGCTCTCCCAGAAGCTGCTCCTAATTTGGCCATGGTGAGGTTGCTGAGGAGAAGATGGCTGGGTGGCTTTGGTGGGAAAGTTCCCATTGCTCCAGGAGTGAGTCCTCGAATGGGACAGGGGTACGAAACACCCACTGATGAGTGAAGCGTTGTGCTGACACCAGGAGTCCTGGCAGCTGCAGAGACCATCCGAGGCCTGTCCTGCCTCCAGCCCCTTACATGGATGTGCCAGGCAGCCCAGGCTGGGGCGTGCTGCCGACCTCCATCCTGTCTGTAGGCAAGGCCTGCCTAGGTTGGAGAGGGACTGCCATGTCTCATCCAGTCACAATCCAGTTCCGTTCTTCAAGCCGTGATTAAGCATCTACTGTTTGTCTGGCACTGCAGATAAATAGAGCTCTCTATTTTTTTCAGGGTCGGCCCCAGGACTGACCCTGAGAAGGGACTGATTTGGAGGACAGTGGGCGCTGTCACTGGGTTAGCATGTGAGCGAGGACAGAGGGCTTCCCCGTGCAGTTCATCCTGAGCAGCAGCAAGAGCAAGGCCAAGAGGCAGGAGGCCCAGGCCCAGCCCCACTCTGGCCGTCAGTGTCCTCTGTAACATGGTGGTGGGTGGTTAGGTCGGGGGGCCCCAAGCACCTCTAGCCATAGCAGTGCTGCTTCCTGTGTGAGATAGGAAGGGCCGATGGGAAAGGGCGTCGTCTCCACCCTCAGCCTCTGGGCCCAGCGGGCCAGGGCTCACCCTCCCAGCCGGCTGCTCCACGGAGAAGCGTGGGACTGTGCTGTCTCTCGGTTAAGCAGTCTTCAGGGCGCAGGCCAGACACAGGGAGGCCTGGAGACAAAACTGGAGGGGACGCAGAGGGAAATGTGACACTCTTAAGGATTCTTTTTGAGAATTAAACTTAAAATGGGGCAAAATTGGCCAAAACATGCTTTTTCTCCTGAATTTTTCCCATTCCCTAGCCAAGGCCTATATATCTGTAAATATGGTCATGAAATGAACATATTTAATGAGTCATCTAATGAGTTTATATGTGTATTATGTATATAAACTAAATTTTATATGTATTATATATAAACTGAATTATATATATAAACTAAATTATATATAAACTTAACTATATATAATTTAATTTATATAAAACTAAATTATATAAATATAATTTGTATATATATGAACTCATCTAATGAATTATAATTTAGTTTATATATAACTCATCTAATGAGTTTAATATAAACTATTTACAATTTTTATTCATATATATTTAAATATATAAGTATGTAATCAGAAATATATGGTGTTTGTGTATATACATATTCATATATATAGTGACTTTCTGTATATAAAGGCTGCTTACATAGAAATATAAATAGTGCATATTTCCTTTTATTGAACCAATAGTTTTATTACATATTCTCCAGAAATGTCCTCTTGGCTTTAAAATTTCCAGAATATCATCTCTCATTTTTCGGATCTTCCCCATGTGACCTGGGTCAGAATCGGGGTCCCAGGGAGAGAAGGGCCGGGCCTCAGCTCTTCTGATCCGGTCTCTGTGTTAGGCTGTTCTTGCATTGCTCTAAAGGAATGCCTCAGGCCGGGTCACTCATAAGGAAACCAGGTGTAATTGGCTCACGGTTTGGCAGGCTCCCAAGCATGACGCCAGCATCTGCTGGGCTTCTGGGGAGGCCTCAGGGACCTTTTACTCATGGCGGAAGGCAAAGTGTGAGCAGGCAGAGAGAGAGAGAGTGCAAGAGGGTGGAAGGGAAGGTGCCACACACACATTTTTGAACAGCCAGATCTCAGGAGAACTCACTCACTGTCGTGAGGACAGCACCCAGGGTATGGTGCCAGACCATTCATGAGATATCCACCCCATGACCCAACCACCTCCCACCAGGCCCCACCTCCGACACTGGGGATTACGACTCAACATGAGATCTGGCGGGGACAAATGTCCAAACCATCCCAGTCTCCCTCACGTTCTCCCAGCGGACATTGGCGAGCCGCTGCCCAGCGTCAGGTGCTGGGCACTGAGATGGTGAGGACCCCTGCCCAGCCCTCAGGAGCTCTCTGACTGTGTAAAGAGCTGAGTCATGATCAATCAAAGGTACTCCGCTGGAGGGATGCGTTAGGGCCCAGAAAAGGGAGTTGCTTGCTCGCCTTAGGGTGGAGTTGGTAAGGGGAGGTTTCCCAGAGTTAAGTTGAAGCCAGGTTCTGAGGGATGAGTAGGAGTTTGACAGGCAGAAGAAGCAACTCGAGCAAAAGCTGTAAGTCTAACAGAAGCATTGCCCTGGAGGACTGGCTGCAGGCAGAGGGCTTGCCCCGCAACCTGCTGTGCCACTGAGGGCCCTGGGTCTTGTGATCTGCTGCTTCTCCCGCCCAGCCCCTCCCTCTCTCTGCCCAGTGCCGGGGGAAGACATTTCCCTCCATCCACCTGTGGACCCGGCTCCTGTCGGCCCTGGCTGGCCTCCTCTATGCCTCGGCCATTGTGGCCCACGACCAGCACCCTGAGTACCTGCTGCGGGCCACACCCTGGTTCCTGACCTCCCTCGGCCGTGCGGCACTGGACCTCGCTGTATCCACCCCAGGCCTGGGGAGCTCCCTGCTTGCAGCCAGAGGAGGCCTGTGTCTCGTCCTCTCACTGCCCCTGCCCCACCCTTCTTTTCTCTTGCTAGATGGAACTCTCCCAGCAGTAAGGGAGTGGTTTGAAGCTTGGGGCAGGCAAACACAAATGCAATTATTTGTAGTTTTATGTTTCCTTTTTTTGTTTGTTTGTTTTGAGATGGAGTCTCGCTGTGTTGCCCAGGCTGGAGTGCAGTGGCGTGATCTTGGCTCACTGCAACCTTCACCTCCCAATTTCAAGCAATTCTCCTGCCTCAGCCTCCCGAGTAGCTGGGACTACAGGTGCATGCCAACACGTCTGGCTAATTTTTGTTATTTTTAGTGGAGACTAAAAATGTTTGTATTTTTAGATGCTGACTGTGGTTAATGGCTGTGGCGTGTTGGTGGTGGGGTGTGTGTGAAGGCAAGGCAGGGCCACGCCGTCTGCAGGCGCTAAGAGGGGAATCTTCGCTTGCCTCTTCCAGCTGCCAGTGGAGCTGCAGGAGCTGCTAGTGGCTCCTGGTGTCCCTTGATGCATGGCAGTGTCGTTTACATTTCTGCCTTGCCCTTCATGTGGCCTTCTTCCCTTTGTGTATCTTCGTGTGTCTCCTTTTCTTATAGGGACCCCAGCTGTTGGAGTTAGGGCCCAGTCCAATCCACTATGACTTCATTGTCTAATTGTATCAGCAAGGACCCTACTTCCGAATAAGGTCACAGTCTGGGCCGGGCACGGTGGCTCACGACTGTAATCCCAGCACTTTGGGAGGCCAAGATGGGAGGATCATCTGAGATCAGGAGTTTGAGACCAGCCTGGCCAACATGGTGAAACCCGGTCTCTACTAAAAATACGAAAATTACCCGAGCATGATGGCAGGTGCCCGTAATCCCAGCTACTTGGGAGGCTGAGGCGAGAGAATCGCTTGAACCAGGGAGGCAGGGGTTGCAGTGAGCTAAGATCATACCACCGCACTCCAGCCTGGGTGACAGAGCGAGACTCTGTCTCAAAAAAAAAAAGGGGGTCACATTCAGAGGTGGATCTGAATTTTGAGGGACACTATTCAACCCACTGCATGTATTGTCACTGTAAGCCAGGCCTGTCAAGAAAGACGTTTTCCAAAATGCTTTAGTTTTGCAAATATTTACCATGTCCTTGTTAGGGACAGGGTCACATTGGATGCTGGGCCCTCGTGAGGACAGGAACATCCACCCTAGCCCTGTCTTCAGATGAGCTCCTCTCTGTCCCAGGCAGGATAATACAGGGGAGGGAGGAGAGTAGGTGAGTGGGGAGGGGGGTGGCAGCATGGTGTGGAGGGGTGAAGGGCCACGCTAGGCAGCTGGAATATTCTGCTTCCTACCTTAACTTACACCATCTCAGATTATTTTCCTTTCGTGTGTGATGAAGAGCAAGATGAGACAGGCCTTAGGATTTGCCAAGGAAGCCAGAGAGAGCCCTGACACCCAAGCCCTTTTGACCTGTGCAGAGAAAGAGGAAGAAAACCAGGAGGTGAGGAACGAGGACAAGGTCTCTCTGGCTGGAAAACTCTGGTCCCAGCAACAGTATCTTGAGAAACAGCAGGATACTGCGGACGGACGTGTGAAAGCTGCCTGCCGAGTGTTCTCTGCAGGCGACTCAGACAGCTGTCCTGTCTCGCTGAGGGAATAGTGGCCAAACCTAACACATGACATGTAACGGGCCCTTCCTGTTTACTGGCATGGAGTGGACGGGGCATTGAGCCTCCATGAGGGCCGGGGCTTGGGAATTCCAGAAGTCCCTCCCTGCTTGCCCAGTTGGTCGCTTTATTTTTATTTTTTTTTAATCTATTGATTGATTGAGATGGAGTCTTGCTCTGTTGCCCAGGCTGGAGTGCAGTAGCACAATCTCAGCTCACTGCAACCTCCGCCTCCCAGATTCAAGTAATTCTCCTGCCTCAGCCACCCAAGTAGCTGGGATTACAGGCACATGTCACCACGCCCGGCTAATATTTTGTATTTTTAGTAGAGACAGATGGGGTTTCACCATGTTGGCCAGGCTGGTCTCGAACTCCTGACCTCAGGTGATCTGCCCACCTTGGCCTCCCAAAGTGCTGGGATTACAGGCATAAGCCGTGGTGCGTAGCCCAGTTGGTCACTTTAAAAAGCTACTGTCTATGTTCAAAGCTAAGGGAAGCCTGAATGCCATAGGATCCTCCGGTTTCGCAATTATACAAATGTTTTGAAGTTTTTTGGTCACTTAATGGCTTATATTTTTAGCAATGTAGATGGAATAGTCGCATGCCCACTTGAAGCTTTTGAATAATTTACTTACTGGTAGTTAAGTTCACATGCTACATACCTTAATATATTCATTTTTAAATAATGTGATTTTTGGCCGGGTGCAGTGGCTCATGCCTGTAATCCCAGCACTTTGGGTGGCCAAGGCAGGCAGATTGCTTGAGCTCAGGAGCTCAAGACTAGCCTGGGCAACAGGGTGAAACCCCGTCTCTACCAAAAATACAAAAAAAATTGGCCGGGTATGGTGGTGTGTGCCTGTAGTCCCAGCTACTTAGGAGGCTGAGGCAGGAGGATCTCTTGATCCTGGAGGCAGAGGTTGCAGTGAGCCAAGATGGCGCCACCGCACTACAACCTGAGCTGCAGAGTGAGACCCCATCTCAAAAACATAAGTAAATTATGTGATTTTCACTCATATTTCTTCAAAAACTGTATTCCCACTTTCACATGCATCTTTAATATCCACATCATTACCACCACCTAACACGGTGCTCCAGAGCCTGTCGTCATGCCCAGCTACATGATCCAGCCTTTGGAAATCGGCTTGTGATGCTGCCTCTAGAAAGTCCTCTCAAGCCACGAGGACCCATTTGCTGTTTGTGGTCACTGCAATGTAACTACTTACTCTATTCCTTGTGGTTTTTTTGGTTTTTTGTTTTGTTTTGTTTTATTTTGTTTTTTGGAGACGGAGTTTTGCTCTTGTTGCCGAGGCTGGAGTGCCGTGGCACGATCTCGGCTCACCACAACCTCCGCCTCCCGGGTTCAAGCGATTCTCCTGCCTCAGCCTCCCAAGTAGCTGGGATTACAGGCATGCACCACCATGCCCGGCTAATTTTGTATTTTTAGTAGAGACTGGGTTTCTCCATGTTGGTCAGGCTGGTCTCAAACTCCCAACCTCAGATGATCCGCCCACCTCGGCTTCCCAAAGTGCTGGGATTACAGGTGTGAGCCACCGGGCCCGGCCTATTCTGTTTTTTTATGCTAGAAATCTGATCTTTAAGTGTTGTTTAGGAGGTCATGTGCAGTGGCTCACGCCTGTAATCCCAACACTTTGGGAGGCCGAGGTGGGTGCATCATGAGGTCAGGAGTTCGAGACCAGCCTGACCAACGTGGTGAAACTCCTGTCTCTACTAAAAATACAAAAATTAGCTGGGTGTGGTGGCACGCGCCTGTAATTCCAGCTACTCAGGAGGCTGAGGCAGGAGAATCGCTTGAACCTGGGAGGCGGAGGTTGCAGTAAGCCAAAATCGCACCATTGCACTCCAGCCTAGGCAACAAGAGCAAAACTCCGTCTCGAAAAAAAACTTTTTTTTTAAAGTGTTCATTAAGCCAGGCATGGTGCCTCATGCCTGTAATGCCAGCACTTTGGGAGGCCGAGATGGGCAGATTGCCTGAGCTCAAGAGTTCGAGACCAGCCTGGGCAACGTGGTGAAACTCCGTCTCTACTAAAAATACAAAAATCAGCTGGGCGTGGTGGCGGGCACCTGTAATCCCAGCTACTCAGGAGGCTGAGACATGAGAATCACTTGAACCCAGGAGGCGGAGGTTGCAGTGAGCCGGGATCGTGCCACTGTACTCCAGCCTGGGCAATAAAGTGAAAATCTGTCTCAAGAAAATAAATAAATAAATAAATAAAAATAAAAAATAAGTGTTGTTTACAGCAATATCAAACCTTTACAATTATGTCATGCCACCGGCTAAAGTTAATGCGTCTCCTTTTATTGATTTAAACAGATGACCTCTACAAGTAGTCAGAACTTACTCTAATTGAGGCCATTTGTCTTCATCAAAAGTTTTTGGTTCCAAATAATTGAGAAAGTAACTCAAAGAAAGCTTGTAAGGACTTGAATATAGGCTGGGTGCAGTGGTTCAGGCCTGTAGTCCCAGCACTTTGGGAGGCAGAGGCGGGCGGATCACGAGGTCAGGAGATCGAGACCACAGTGAAACCCCGTCTCTACTAAAAATACAAAAAATTAGCTGGGCGCGGTGGCGGGTGCCTGTAGTCCCAGCTACTCGGGAGGCTGAGGCAGGAGAATGGCGTGAACCCAGAAGGCGGAGCTTGCAGTGAGTCGAGATCCCGCCACTGCACTCCAGCCTGGGCGACAGAGCGAGACTCCGTCTCAAAAAAAAGGACTTGAATATAAAATGGCTCCCTCTTTTCTAAGATTTCAATTTTTTTTTTTTTTTGGAAAAAACTCTCATCTATTACCTGGGCTCTTCACTACCTTAGACTCCTCTCACAGAGAGTGGGTGTGAGGCTGTGAGTAACTTCCTCCGTGGCCAGGATGGAGGAAGTGATGGGGAGTGCATTTGGACCGACAAAAACAAAAACTGCCCCTCCGAATGTTCTCCAAATGGCTTAACCATGTGATCCGACTGAGTCCGTGAAATAGAAGATCGTGGTGTATGTGACGCAGAGGAAAGCATTTTTTATATAGGTGCCCAGACCAAAGAGCCACGTTCCCATGAGGCCCTAGTGGGAAGTTATTTTCATTTCTTTCTAGCAACTGTTAGGAAATTATATTCCAAAAGGGGGCCAAAATATTAACAGAGCCCTGTGTGTCTTGGAATTCTGAAGAGAGAAGTAGAAGCCTCTGGAGTCTCTAGCAGTTCTTCAGAGCAGTGGTTCTCAAAGTGTGGGCCCTAGACCAGGATTACCTGGGAAACTGTGAGAAATGCAGATTTGGGGGCTCCACCCAGATCTCCCGAATCTGAAACTGAGGGTGTGGTCCAGCAATCTGTATTTTATTTATTTATTTATTTATTTATTTATTTATTTATTTTTGAGACGGAGTCTCACTGTTGTCCAGGCTGGATTGCAGTGGCACGATCTCAGCTTGCTGCAACCTCCGCCTCCTGGGTTCAAGCGATTCTCCTGCCTCCGCCTCCCACGTAGCTAGGATTACAGACACACGCCACCTTGCCCAGCCAATTTTTGTATTTTTAGTAGAGACAGGGTTTCACTATGTTGACCAGGCTGGTCTCGCACTCCTAACCTCAGGTGATCGGCCTGCCTCGGCCTCCCAAAGTGCTGGGATTACAGGCGTGAGCCACCGCGCCCGGCTGCAATCTGTATTTTAGCAAAACCCACAGGGTGCTTCTGATGTGCATCAAGGTTAGAGAACCACAGCTTTGCAAAAGCACTTATTGGGCACCTATTGCAGTGGTTCGCAAACTTGGCCGCACGTTAGAATCATCTGGGGCGCGTTTAAACGATCCACTTCCCGGTTACA